>NC_000003.12:169766180-169917695 GCF_000001405.40 Homo sapiens
CTCTCCCTCCTTCTCTCTCTCCCATCCCCTTTTTCTTTCATAGCATCTGCCAGGTTGTAAAGTTTTTTACGGACAGAATCTGACTCCTGTTTTTAGCACTATTGCACTTAGCACAGTACCTTACATAGAGTAGATGCTAAATGCTTTGAGTTATATGTCAACACTACCACCATTCTCTTAGCATCCCACATTATCTCAAACCCTTCTTTCCCCTTCATATCTAAGTAGGCACTAAATCTTGTCAGTTTTCATAATTTCTTTTTTTAAATTCCTATTGCTTATAATCTTGAGTACAAGACTTGGCACTTTATATGTGGACTAGTAACTTTCTAACTGATCACCAAATCTCCAGGGCCTTCCTCATTCAATTTATTCTCCAAACTATCACATTCATCATAACATAGTTTCCTTATGGCTCCTGCTTTTAAATCTTTAATTTCTCTCCTTTGCATATTGGATATTTAGCACTTTAAGCCTTTCAGTCCCTGGCCTTCACTTAACCTTGCTAGTCATAGCGCTTGTTCTGCTCTATATGAGCTCTTGACTTGAACAAAATCAGTCTAAACTTAGGCGTGGTGGTGCATACCTGTGGATTCAGTTACTTGGGAGGCTGAGGGCAGAGCCCAGGAGTTGGAGGCTGCAGTGAGCTATGATTGCACTACTGCACTCCAGCCTGGGACACAGGGCAAGACTCTGCCTCTAAAACTAAATAAATGAATAAATACATACATAAACAAAAATTTTAAAAACAAAATCAGTCTATTAAACATGCCCTGAATATGCTTTGTTCATTCTCATCTTTAGCAACTTGTTCATTTTAGTATGCTTGCCTGGATATCTGCGCTCCATCCCAATGCCACCCCTTCCATGATGGCATACCTCTGCTATGGAGTCTCGTTCCTCACCACAGCAACCTTCTTTCCCTAAACTTCAATAAGCTTAAATCTTATCACTCATTTGGCACATAGCATATTGTACCACAAATGCTCTCTTCCAAGGGAAATATAAGCTCACCAACGTCAAGTTATAGAAGAAACACTATGGGAAACATTATTTTAACTTGGTTCTACTCAATAGACATCTGTTCTTGAGCTTCACCATTATTATCCCCCAAACCCATTATAGAAATACAACAGAAATATTGGCATCCCAATAGGTGAAGTATTTTCTCTTCTCCCAGAAACATATAATATCCAAAGTTTTCTGTCACATATACTCAAAACATTTTCTTCCAACCATTTTATCTGTATTTCAGAAGCATCTTTGGTGTACTATGTTGGGTCCAACTTCTTTAAATTCTGCAGCAGTGATCCACATGTCCTGGAAGGCAGACAAGGATGCAAGAATAGAACCTCCCATCCACACTGATATTTTCCTTTCTGGAGGAGCTATAACTTGCACAGCGGTGTTGGCAGGAGCCACCTTTGCTATATCCTTAACTAACCGCTTGTCTAAACCAGGGAAAGAGGTTGATCCCCCGGCAAGGATAATATTGGAAAAGAAGGAATTCCTCAGGCCTGTATCACATTTCATTATGCTGCTGAAGCATATCTTATCAATGCCAGGGGCCTCAAGGTTCATATGACACGGAGAGAAGAGGGCCTCTGGACAAGAAAAGAGCTGGTCATGGAGCTGGATGACCTTCCCATCAGGTAGTTGGTAAACTTTCTCTAGACAATCGGGTTTCTTGGCCATTTCCTCTTCGTAGTTCATTGCCACATAACAAAAGCTCTCCTTGATGTCTTCAACAATCTTTCTGTCTGAAGCACTGAGCAACATGATACCATGGTTCTTCATTAGCACCATGAGGTAGTTGGTGAGGTCAAGGCCTGCCAGATCCAGTTGCTGCACACCATGAGGCAGACAGTAACCCTCAAAGATGGGCACACTCTGGGTAACCCCAGCACCTGAATTCAGCACAAGGCCAGTAGTGAAGCCAGCAGCAAAGAGAGCCAGCACAGCCTGGATGGACATATAGAAGGCAGGAACACCCAGATGCTCAAAAAACATTTCCGTGATCTGTTGCCGGTTGGCCAGTGGGTTCAGCGCTGGCTCAGTAATCAAGACTGGGCCATCACACGGCTTCAGCTTTAGGTTATAGTCATAGATATGCTTCCACATGATCTCCATGTCCTCCCATGAAGTAATGAGACCACGCTCCACTGGGTAACTGTAAGGAAAGCAATAAGATCAATGACAGCTTTTTATTTTTCTAGTTTCTATTGTCTTCGACCCTCAGTTAATTCCCCGCGTTTATTACCAATATCCCTTTATGGGCAATAACTGCCACAGCCTCTCACAGCAGGTAAGTGTCAGCCAAAAATAGCACAGCTACTTACCTCTGCAATTTTTTTTTTTTTTTTTGGAGACAGAGTCTCGCTCTGTCACCCAGGCTGGAGTGCAGTGGCGCGATCTCAGCTCACTGCAAGCTCCGCCTCCCGGGTTCACGCCATTCTCCTGCCTCAGTCTCCTGAGTAGCTGGGACTACAGGCGCGCGCCACCACGCCCGGCTAATTTTTTTGTATTTTTAGTAGAGACGGGGTTTCACCGTGTTAGCCACGATGGTCTCGAACTCCTGACCTCGTGATCCGCCCTGCTCGGCCTCCCAAAGTGCTAGGATTACAGGCGTGAGCCACCGCGCCCGGCCTACCTCTGCGATTTTTGTTGCTTTCCATTTTCTCTGTCCTTTGGAACCTTGTGACTTTTAAAAAATTGGGAAATGTCCACATTATAGTATAGTTTAAATGTCAATTGAAGAGAATAACCCAAGTGACAAAAGGGACCATGAGTTAATATTCTTAAATGAATTCGTTCGATAACTTTATACGTTTTAATACATTTGTATAGCCACAGAGAGCAAAATGTTCAGTTTTTAGATGTGTGGTACCCTTGGAGATTTGTGGCCCGTGCGTTTGTAGTAATTCCAGCTGGATGGGGCTTTCCAGCTCCCGGCTTTCTTATTCTTTCTGTCCCCATTGCGCACCTCCTTTGGGGTCCTTTCCTGCCCCCCGACAACACCCCCAGTCCCCCCACCCCCAGCCACCCCAGCCCCACCCCCCAACCTCCCCAGCCCCACCCTACCCCACCCCCACCCCACCCACCCTCCCCAGCCCCAGCAGCCTGCTGGGAGAAGGAGGTACCTGATGAACAGCGAGCTCCTCCAGTCCTGAGCTTGGTCGCCCACGCAGAGTTCTAGCCCGCCCTGGGCCGCGCGGCTCTGGCCCTTGGCGCGGCCGATAATGTTCGGGTAGATAAACTGGGGCTCCCGGCACCCAGCCACGCCCGCCTTGATCATTCCCGAGCCGTTGTCGATCACCACCGGTAGCTGGCAGTGGTTCATGCCGCCGCTGCTGCCGCCGCCTCCTGTCTCTGAGCCGCTCTAGCTACGGGCTCGGCCGGGGCCGAGTGCCTGGAACGCCGCGTCACAGAGGCCCCGGCACGGCCGGGTGAGGCCAGAGTCCTGGGGGCGCAGGCAGGGGGTCGGCAGGGCCCCAGGCGGAAGGACTCGCTGGACGCACCGTGCTCCTCATGTTACCGCCCGCTATTGCTTCTCGCAGGAATTGGGCCACCCCAACACCTGGAATCCCGGAATCCCAGTATCAGGAAAACCCGACTTTCGCATCAAAAGATTCAACTCTAACCCTTCACAAGTGCATTTCTCAAATACCCAGAAGAGCTATAACAGCAGTTTTATTTTCCAAAGCCACGGAATTCTGGTTAACTGGTGGCGGTTCCGGGGAGTTCTAGAATTCGCCCTTGAAACTGGGGAAAAATGAGACTTAAGAGGAGAAAGTTGTTGCAGGAAGGGAGGCAGTGTCTGCTTCTGAAATGTTAAACTTCTAAAATAAGGAGAAAAATGCTGGAATTTAAATGAGTTTTAAGTACGTTTATTATTGTTTCTGTACCTTGGGCAATGCTTTGTTGTGTTTCTTCCTGTGATTTCCAAGCAAAATGTACGCAATTAAAACAAAATAGTAGTTCCTAGCTTAAATATGTAAATAAATATAAATTTATATATATTTATATAAATATATATAAATTTAAATATAAAATATTAAAAAATATATAAATTTATATAATTTATATAAATATATGTTATATTATATAAATATATTTATATATTTATAAAATATATATTTATATATTTAAGCAAGGATATAAATCGAAATATATATATTTATATTTATTATATGTATAAATATAAATATATAAAAATTTATATTTATATTTATTATATGTATAAATATAAATATATAAAAATTTATATTTATATATCATAAATATAAATATATAAAAATTTATATTTATATATCATAAATATAAATATATAAAAATTTATATTTATATATCATAAATATAAATATATAAAAATTTATATTTATATATCATAAATATATAAAAATTTATATTTATATATCATAAATATATAAAAATTTATATTTATATATCATATATAAAAATTTATATTTATATATCATATATAAAAATTTATATTTAGATATCATATATAAAAATTTATATTTAGATATCATATATAAAAATTTATATTTAGATATCATATATAAAAATTTATATTTAGATATCATATATAAAAATTTATATTTAGATATCATATATAAAAATTTATATTTAGATATCATAAATAAAAATTTATATTTAGATATCATAAATAAAAATTTATATTTAGATATCATAAATAAAAATTTATATTTAGATATCATAAATAAAAATTTATATTTAGATATCATAAATAAAAATTTATATTTATATATCATAAATATATAAAAATTTATATTTATATATCATAAATATATAAAAATTTATATTTATATATCATAAATATATAAAAATTTATATTTATATATCATAAATATATAAAAATTTATATTTATATATCATAAATATATAAAAATTTATATTTATATATCATAAATATATAAAAATTTATATTTATATATCATAAATATATAAAAAATTATATTTATATATCATAAATATATAAAAAATTATATTTATATATCATAAATATATAAAAAATTATATTTATATATCATAAATATATAAAAAATTATATTTATATATCATAAATATATAAAAAATTATGTTTATATATAATAAATATATAAAAAATTATGTTTATATATAATAAATATAAAAATTTGTTTATATATAATAAATATAAAAATTTATGTTTATATATAATAAATATATAAAAATTTATGTTTATATATAATAAATATATAAAAATTTGTTTATATATAATAAATATATAAAAATTTATGTTTATATATAATAAATATATAAAAATTTATGTTTATATATAATAAATATATAAAAATTTATATTTATATATAATAAATATAAATATATATATTTCGATTTCTATCCTTCTGGTGTAATCTGCAAGCCTCATTCGCTACTC
The DNA here is from genome assembly GCF_000001405.40 of Homo sapiens. Lineage (NCBI taxonomy): Eukaryota > Metazoa > Chordata > Mammalia > Primates > Hominidae > Homo > Homo sapiens. The sequence continues at coordinate 169,771,603 of NC_000003.12, forward strand.
TTGATTTTTAGGCTGAAGGACGTGCCTGTCTTTTTGCAGGAAAAGTGAAGTTTATCAGGTCATATGAAATTCAAGTTTGGAAAAATTTGAAAGTACATTGCATGTCAATAAACGCATCTTGGTGTCTGATTCTGCATACATCTGTAGAGAATTTGAAAACAAGCAGTCAATTTAGAACTTCTGCTTGGTCTTCGGAAGCAAAAAGAGGAAATTCAAAAGTAATTTTACACGTCCTTCCACCAGAAGCTGAAAGGATGGCTTTTTCGCGGCTGAATAACGAAAGCCCCCTGCTTCGCCCCGGACTCTGAGCAGCTCAACCTGCGGAAAGGATGTGTAATAAAACGCCTTTCCAGGGAGACAAAAAAAAAAAAGGCCACCCAAAGGAAGGGCAACTCGGGAGTGCCTGGTTTCTACTGCGGTACCCGGGCACTTTGGAAGAAAGTGCGTGCAGATTCAAGCTTTTGAAATGGTTTCAGCTCTGTTCAATTGGGCATAGGCTATTTTTCCTTTTCTGTTTTTTTCTTTAAATACATTATATTCATTCCTCTCAATTTGATAATAATCACTTGAGAATTGCGAATTGACACTTACATATCAAGGACTTTACAAAACCCTCTCCAAAGTGGGGTTTCCGTAGTGTAGTGGTTATCACGTTCGCCTAACACGCGAAAGGTCCCCGGTTCGAAACCGGGCGGAAACACACTAAAAAATCCCTTTTTTTTTTTTTTTTTTTTTCCTTCGCTTGGAAGAAAGCGTGAGATCACGCTTTGTTTTCTTTTGTTGTTTGTTTTGTTTTTTTTTCTGAGGGAAGCCTTAGCTTAATGTATGCCGGTCCTTCAAAAGACATGATAGCAATTTGAGAGTCTGAACTGTAAGTTTTTGTTACTTTATTCGTTCACCAAATGTTTTTATGGAAGCCTTGCCACGTGGAACATGTGTCCCGGGTTTTAAAAAATGAATTTGACTCACCAGCTAACACTGAAAAAATAATGTACAGCCTAGAAGGAAAGATCAAAGTGTAAAAGTGGTTAGTCCTGTCGCCTCCTGAGCATTTTTGTATTATATCACTTGGTTTTTCGTCTGAAGTGGCTGTAAATAATCGTATTAAAAATCTTCTGGTCCAGACGCAGGAAAACCTTTTCCGGTATAAAGCCCACCTTCCTCTAATGTTGCGCATGCCCACTGTGCCCAGCTGCTCCGCTTTCGTGCATCCCAGACTTCTGTCACCAGGTAAGGGCATCTTGGAAGCTGAGCTACAGTTGGCTGGGGCACAAAAAAACCAGGGGGTGCCAAGAGTTTTCAGGTACGTAAGCGGGAAAGGGGTGCCAAGTCTCAGCTAAAAAATCCCCTATGGCAGAGATCCGAGTACACATGCAGCAGTTTCCACCGGTGGGGCCCCGAGGAAGGGGAGGATGATGGGAGAAGACAAGCAACTACAAGCCCCCGCACGCAGTGCGCAGCTGGCTTCAGGAGAGAGGCCCGCGGTGCTGTGCTGCCGGGCCTCGGCGCAGAGCCCCGGCAGAGCGCCAGACGCTGACTGCCGGCACCAGAATGCTCGCGATGAGGAAGACAGGCGGAGCGCTGCGAGCTAGCGAGCCCTCAGCTCTCGTATCCATGACGCCTGCTGCTTCGGGGGACCCCTGGCATGCTGGGGAGTGGGTCTCTGTGGTACATCCTGTACCGCCCTGGCCGGCGCCGGACCCCCATGGCCCCAGAACCTCCCGCACTGCCACGGGAAGACAGAGCCGGACGTGACGCCACCGTGGAAGGAAGGGAGGGGCGGAGCGTGGCTCGGTGACGTCCTCCCAAGATGGCGGAGACAGAGTGAAGAAACTGTGTTCCCCCCTTGGGTTGCTATCGGTGAGTTCCTACTTCACCCCCAGCCCGCCATCCCGGTCTCTCTAGAGCCTGGGCCATCAGAGGGCAGGCTCCTTGGAGTTCCAGCACGGGTCGGGGCGCAGGTGGAAGGCTTGGGCTAGGCAGCCCCGGGGTGGCCTGGGCCACAACCTCTGCTGTGGAAATTCGCGGGAGTGGGAGCTGGGCAGAGGGCAGGGCGGCAGAAGCCGAGGAGGGACTGGCTTTGGTTGTCACTCTCGGATGCCGCCTCGCGTAGAGAGTGGGAAGGGAGAAGGTGTGGCCTCCTTAGCGCGAGTGATAGAACCTTTGACAGCAAGCCATGGCCGGGCGCATTCCCGGCTTTCTGGGCAGCCACCTCTCGTTTTGGAGAAACTGCACTGGGGAAACTAACAGGTTTTGGTGACTTGAGAGCAGTTTTTAAAAACTCGTACTGTTCTGCCCCTATCTGTCCCAAGAGATCATGTCTTAGTGGTTTAAAAAATTTTTTTGTAACATAAGTATGTCTACTGAGCTTGAAAATCTGAGGGTTCAACAGATGTGAAAGCGTCAGGTTTTGCTGTGCTTTTTGCAGGTGGTAGAAGTGTTGCCATTCACCGTCACTTATTGATGTGTCCAAAGGATTGTGTTAGTTGATCAAGGTAACCAAAGATAGAAAGGCACTCATCCCTTCATTCTTAACCATGTATGTTTGATAAGGATTTTCAAGGGGGCTAAAATTGTTTAAGTTATGTCCTCTGTCCCTTCCCTCACTGAACGTTGATGAGAACTTACGGTTACTGATTTACTGTTTCTTTTTGTCTTTTAGATCAAGGGTAAAATTCCATTCTGATATCAAAATGCAGTATTCGCACCACTGTGAGCACCTTTTAGAGAGACTGAACAAACAGCGGGAAGCAGGTTTTCTCTGTGACTGTACCATAGTGATTGGGGAATTCCAGTTTAAAGCTCATAGGAATGTGCTGGCCTCCTTTAGTGAGTATTTTGGTGCGATCTACAGAAGCACTTCTGAGAACAATGTCTTTCTTGATCAGAGTCAGGTGAAGGCTGATGGATTTCAGAAACTGTTGGAGTTTATATACACAGGAACTTTAAATCTTGACAGGTAAAGTACACATTTTATTTTCAGTTATAAAAGCTAGTCAGTAGTCTTCACAGCAAAAGTAGATTTGTATTTTTTCCATTCATTCTCTGAACTCAAATTCTTCACCTATTTATGCACACAATGTTTGTTTTTATAAAGAAATCAGTATCACTGATTTAGGATGAGCAGGCAATATTTTTCATAAGCACAGATAATAAACAGTAAGATTTCTGACACGTTTATTTACTGAAACAAAGCCTGTGATTTCACTTATGTAAACTTGAACATTAAACACAATGAATTTATTTTATTTTATTTTTGAGACGGGCTCACCGTCACCCAGGCTGGAGTGCAGTGGGGCAATCTCGGCTCACTGCAACCTCTGCCTCCCGGGTTCAAGCGATTCTCCCACCTCAGCCTCCCTAGTAACTGGGACTACAGGTGTGCACTACCACACCTGGCTAATTTTTGTATTTTTTGGTAGAGACAGGGTTTCACCATGCTGGCCAGGCTGCAAACAAAAAATTCTAAGTTACTTCCAGTTTCCCATTGCTTTTTGGTCCTTGAATTCCTCTGGTCTTCTGTCTCCCTCATTCTGACTCCTGTTATCTCTATTAACCTACCAGTACTAATACTGAAGTAAGGTCAGAGATGCTAGAATGATTCTCTAAGATGCTTACTGATGTCACTGCATTAACAAGAAGTGGGTTCTGAGGAATCTGATAATGTAGGCACTGTGTGTCTCCCCTGTATAACGAACCATATAATTAGATTAATATCAATACATTTACAGATTGTAGGGGAAAAGGTGGAGGGAATAAAAGCAAAGAGAAACTGATTAAATTACCCCTGTCTTATTTCTGTCTCTCTTATGAAAGTGAACATGAATAGACTGTTCATAATCTTCTGACACAGGAAGATTATAGGCTTTGGAATTAGATCTTTCCTGTCAGTCGCTATGTCTCCTTGAGCATGATGCAATCTCTCTGGGCCTCAGTTTCCCCATCTGTCAAAATGAGATGGTAATAACTACCTTGAGGCTAAATAAGGTTTTACTTGATCCTTATTCACTTCCCACTGAACGTTAATTTCTTTATTTTTCTTCTTTACCCTCTCCTCCCCCTTTAATTCCACATTTCTCGGAGAAAAAATAGAAAAAACAAAAAAGAAACACCTGAAATACTGCTGCCCACTGATAACCCCTGTTAACCTTTTGATATATATTAATTAATTCTTTTCCAGATCTCTGTAGAGATGTGCATGTATACATTAAGCAAAATCTTTCCCTCCCTTTTATATTGTAACTTATCATGGAAATATACTTATTTAAAAATCTAGAATCAGGGTGCTCATTAATCCTTTTGACGAGGAAACATTCTTGTGTAAGAAGTATCCAGTGGGGGGAGGGGAGGGAGAGAAAAGTAAACTTTCATGCTATTTTGGAATTATTTTTAAATTTTGGTATAATGAAATCTTCAAGTGAGTTCTTTATAAGTTGATTAAAGGAAAAGAGCAGTGTGAATTTTGGCTGGCCTGCAATTTAATGGTTTCCCTTTCTCTCAATTAACTATGCAAAACAAAAAAATCTTCATTTGAATACACGGTAGAGCACTTTTCTTTGAGACTTCATGCAAAGAACCAATGTGAAGAACAGCCAGGTGTTTTGTTCAGTCTCTTTTGGTACATATCTTTCCTGGAGACTGGGGAGCTAATTCCTCGAGTTCAGCTAGAAATGTAAGAGAGGATTTATACCAAAATAGAAAGGCTTACAACTTAGTGATTAAGAAAACAGGTAGAATATATTAAGTTGGCTCAGGGGCCAGATTACCTTGGTCAAATCTTGGTTCTAACATTCTGTGCTCTTGGACAGGTTACTTTATTTCTTTGGACTTCTGATTTTTCACTTGTGTGTAAAATGAGGATTATAATAGATTTCATAGGCATGTCCTGAGGATAATCTTATAAAGCATTTAGGCATGTACCTGGCAATATGTAATTAAATGACCTTCAGTGACTGTTCAGAGGATGTTATCTAATACTTGTAAACAAAAGCAAATCTGTTATTGAAGTATTGATTGGTGCTCTTAACTGTGACTGAGATTATAGCCATCTATGAAATAGTTTGTATGAATTACCATTTCAATGTTGAACAAATTTTTTTTTTTTTTTTTTTTTTTTTTTGAGATGGAGTCTCACTCTGTCACCCAGGCTGGAGTGCAATGGCGTGATCTCGGCTCACTGCAACCTCCACCTCCCAGGTTCAAGGGATTCTCCTGCCTCAGCCTCCCGAGTAGCTGGAATTACAGGCACCCGCCATCATGCCCAGCTAATTTTTGTATTTTGTAGATACGGGGTTTTACCATGTTGGCCAGGCTGGTCTTGAACTCCTGACCTCAGGTGATGCGCCCACCTTGGCCTTACAGGCATAAGCAACTGCACCCGGCCTTGAACAATTAATGTATGACTTCCTGCTAACTTATATTGGTCTTAAAGGCTACCTGACCTTGTTATCTGTTTGGCGGTTTATTTTATGGAGCACTAAACACAATTAGAGACCAAAAGATCTTTTTTAGTGGCCCAGCCCAAAAGACAATTTTTAGAAAGCTGTTGTGATGCTAAATTAAATAAGGGGAAACATACAGGTGGCACTTGAGGCAAAGCAAGTTTAATTAGAAGATGATGAGAACATGGGTAGAGATTTGTAGATACTGTAGCATACTTTTAGAGATCTTAGAGGTTCATGACACTAGTTATTTTTTATTTTATTTCAAATTTTAGTCCTTTAAAATAGTATCACCAGCACTATATTTACATTGTCAGCTATGATTAAAACCCTTTTCTGGCTTATACTTACAACAGAGAGGGAAAGAGATCATCTTCCCAAAGATAAACCATATTTAGGGAAAAAAATCAAGTAGGAAGATTATTTGAGGGTAAGGGGTGTGTGTGTGTGTGTGTGTGTTTCCATCCTCAAATACTTATAACAGTCATGTTTTTAGTGTTAACACCAACTCAACTCTAATTTTACAGCTAAGAAAGTTGAACCCCCCAAAGATGCTGACTTACCCTAATTAAGTCAGCCAGTAATGCCAGAGCCAGTGCTAGATTAATCAAACAACCTTTCACCACATTGTGAACTTCTGAAGGGCAGAGACTATTTACTTATTAATATCTTAGTACCACACATGGTAGATGCTTAGTAAACATTTGACTAGAATATTGAACAAGGTGGCTTAAGTCTTTCTTTGTAACTCTCACATCACGAACACTCCAGCTAATTTGGGTTGAGTATCACCAAAAAAGGTGGGAGGGTTGCTAGAGAGAGTTTAACATTCTAAAACCTTGTTCCTCTAAGTGGATTCCTCTAAGCAACATTGGCATCACCAGGAAGTGTATTAAGAAATGCAGGCTGTGCTGGTGGCTCACGCTTGTAATCCTAGCACTTTGGGAGCCCAAGGTGGGAGGATCACTTGAGGCCAGGAGTTCGAGACCAGCCTGGGCAGCATAGCAAGACCCTGCCTCTACAAAAAAAATAGCCAGGCATGGTAGCACATGCTTGTAGTCCCACTTACTTGGGAAGCTGACGCAGGAGCCCAGGAGTTGAAGGCTGCGGTGAGTTATCATTATACCAGTGCACTCCTGCTTGGGCAACAGAAGAATACCCCATCTCAAAACAGAAAAAAAATGCAGAATCTCAGGCCCCATCACAGACCTACTGAATTTGAATCTACATTTAACAAGATTCCCGGGTGATTCACATGCACAGCAAAGTTTGGGAAACATAATTAAAGTCCCTCACAGGGGAGCAGGAGAAAATAGTAGGAAACAAGTGTCATTAGACTTTCCCTCTTGCCAATCCAGAAAAGTTGGTTGCTATCTGAAGAAGCCTCAGGATGAATGGAGGAGGTAGTGAGTTACCATCAGCTATTTTTGTGTTCTAGGGTTTTAAAAAAAAAGCCAGAAAATTTAACATTTAATTTTTCTGCAGTGGTTCACTGTCAGCTGTGAATAGCCATTATCTTTCATCTCTTGAAGTTCTGTAAAATTGGAGATTTTTTACCTAAACATTATTCTGAATGAATTTATAAATCTATTTTTCTCTTAGTTATGTCTTTTTCAGCATTCTGCTTCATTAGGTCTTTAAAATACATTGAAGTATATATGCAGCTCTGTTTCGAAAGTTTTTCTTTGATCAGAATATTGTCATGTAGCCTTGTTTCCTTGCAGTTGGAATGTTAAAGAAATTCATCAGGCTGCTGACTATCTCAAAGTGGAAGAGGTGGTCACTAAATGCAAAATAAAGATGGAAGATTTTGCTTTTATTGCTAATCCTTCTTCTACAGAGATATCTAGTATTACTGGAAACATTGAATTGAATCAACAGACTTGTCTTCTTACTCTGCGAGATTATAATAATCGAGAGAAATCAGAAGTATCTACAGATTTGATTCAGGCAAATCCTAAACAAGGCGCGTTAGCGAAAAAGTCATCTCAAACGAAAAAGAAGAAGAAGGCTTTCAACTCCCCGAAAACAGGGCAGAATAAAACAGTGCAATATCCCAGTGACATCTTAGAGAATGCATCTGTTGAATTATTCCTAGATGCAAATAAACTGCCCACACCTGTAGTAGAACAAGTTGCACAAATAAATGATAATTCAGAACTCGAGTTGACATCAGTTGTGGAAAATACTTTTCCAGCACAAGATATTGTGCACACTGTTACAGTGAAACGGAAACGTGGAAAATCACAGCCAAACTGTGCTCTGAAAGAACACTCTATGTCTAATATAGCCAGCGTCAAGAGTCCTTATGAGGCGGAGAACTCCGGGGAAGAGCTGGATCAGAGGTATTCCAAGGCCAAGCCAATGTGTAACACATGTGGGAAAGTGTTTTCAGAAGCCAGCAGTTTGAGAAGGCACATGAGAATACATAAAGGAGTCAAACCTTACGTCTGCCACTTATGTGGAAAGGCATTTACCCAATGTAACCAGCTGAAAACGCATGTAAGAACTCATACAGGTGAGACGGGTGTGTGGGGAGATATTATTTTTATACTGTGACTAATATAGTGTATTTTTATAGAGAGTACTTAGCACACACTACTTGTGACCAGAATTTGGTATATTTTTCTATTCATCAAAGTATTTAACAGTGTTAAACTGTTGAAAATTTATTTGTAATTGTAACCAAGTATTTAATGGCTGTTTAAGCCCTAATGCATCAACTCCTTATACCATTTTCCCTCCAAATAAGTATGTTGATTCTAGCTTACCAAGTATTTAACAGAGACAAAGACATTAAAACTGATAAAGAGAAAATGTAATTACAATTCAGGCCAATTTTCAGATATTGCCAACACTTCTCATTACATACTTCTAGACTCTGTTGACTTCTGAACATGTTCATTGGAATTACACATACAGTGTTCCCTAAGCTTCTACAGTTACCTTTATTTTGCATGTCCTCTGCCTGGTTGTAAAGTATGAGCACCTATTGGTACGTTTACATTCGTACTTTTTTCTTTTTTTTTTCTGAGACAGAGTCTCACTGTGTCGCCCAGGCTGGAGTACAGTGGTGCGATCTCGGCTCACTGCAAGCTCCGCCTCCCGGGTTCAAGCCATTCTGCTGCCTCAGCCTCCCGAGTAGCTGGGATTACAGGTGCCTGCCACCAAGTCCGGCTAATTTTTTTGTATTTTTAGTAGAGACTGGGTTTCACCATGTTAGCCAGGATGGTCTCGATCTCCTGAACTCGTGATCCGCCCGCCTCCGCCTTCCAAAGTGCTGGGATTATAGGCGTGAGCCACCGAGCCCAGCCCTAGATTCGTACTTTTTAAAATGCTGTATGTATTTATCTCGTGAATTCAGAAACACTAATTTCTTTTGATTCTACTGGTGTTTTCAGTGGTCTGGAAAAGATTATATTTGTTTTCAGTTCCAACAGTTAACATTTTCTTAATAACAAAGCTAGTACTGTTGATGAAATCTTATATGACTTATGCAACCAAAACACTATTTTCTTCTAAATATAAATTTTATTGTTCCTTTAGGTGAGAAGCCATACAAATGTGAATTGTGTGATAAAGGATTTGCTCAGAAATGTCAGCTAGTCTTCCATAGTCGCATGCATCATGGTGAAGAAAAACCCTATAAATGTGATGTATGCAACTTACAGTTTGCAACTTCTAGCAATCTCAAGATTCATGCAAGGTAAAAAACCAAATGAGTTGTTTGATCTTTTAGTCTTTTAATCACCATAGTCTTATGAATAGACTATTATATTAGAATTCAGGACAGTAGAATTGTAATTGTGGTTCCACCAAACAATGTTAACACGTTCAAGGAACCACAAGGAAGCCACAGTGGTTGATAGGAAATAAGCAGGGGGTGGGGACTACTAGGAAATAAGGTCAGACTCGTCCAGAAGTAAGATCAGAATGGTCCAGAATGCAGCTTAAGAGGATCATTCTGACTGGTATAGGATTATAAGAGTGGAATCAGGGTAAACAGGAATCTATAGATAAAACCCAAGCAAGGGTGATGGTGGTTCAGGCCAGGGTGGCAGCAGTGAAAGAAATAAGTAGTAGTAGATTCTGGATATATTTTAAAGTTAGAAATAATAGAATTTGCAAACAGATTGTATGTGAAGTCTGGAAGAGAGTCAAAGATGATTCTGAGGTTTTGGGCCTGAACCCCTATAAAGATGGAGCTGCCATTAACTGAGATAGAGAAGGTTTGTGGGTAGAACAGTTTAAGTGGAAGTGCAGGAATTTACGAGTACAGTTCTGTGTGTGTTAAATTTGAGATGACTTAACACTTCTGAATAGAGGTGTGCAATAGATAATTGGTTATCTAAGTCTGCAGTTCAGGGGACTGGTTTGAGCTGAAGATAACAGTTTGGCAATCATTAGCGTTTGGCAGTCATCAGCATATGACAGTATTTAAAGCTGTAACCCTGGCTAAGGTCACCAAGAGAGTGAATGTGGACAGAAGAAATCAAAAGACGGCCCTGAGGCACTCTAACTTTATGAGTTCTGAGAGATGGGTGAGAACCAGCAGAGGTAACTAGGAAGGAGCAGCCAGTAGAGGAGGAAAACCAGGAAAGAGGGCTGCCCTGGAATCCCAAGTGAAGGAAGTTATTCCAGATGGGAGTGGTCAATTGTAAAATTCTGTGATAGGGAGATGAAGACTGAGAACTGACGTGGATTTAGTAAAGTGGGAAGTCAGCAGTGCTCTTGACAAAAGTATCATTAGTAGAGGCCAGTAGAGAAGAAATGGAAGTAGATAGAACACTTGGAGTCTCAAGGTTTTGGTAAAGGGGAGCAGAGAATGGAGGAGCAAGTAAGGTCAAGGGTCTTTGTTTTGTTTTTGGTTTTTTTTTAATATGGGAGACATCAGTATATTTGTATACCATAATCCAATGGAGTGAGAAACATGGATGATGTAGGACTGGGGAAACTGCAGAAGTGATATCATTAAGTAGGATCTCAAGTATACAAATTGGAATTGATGGATTCAGATGAACTGTCACCCTCATGTCATATGAATTTTTCTCAGTGAAATAGGAAGCAGGGATGTCACCTGAGAGTTACAATGGGCAAGGAGATGCTGATGGTTTGAGGAGAGAGTTCACAAGTCAAAGAGTGACTAGACTCATGAAAATAATTGCCTGCAGTATTAGGGGCCCACTGACAACCATATAAAGATCATGGAAAAACTTTTTGAACTGATCTCAGAACTAATGTTTTGATAATAAGAAATATTTGTTTTTGGCAGTGTTTACACTGAAACAACTACTGATTTTAAATACATAGTCTTGGCCTGTTAAGATGACATGAAATAAAATCTATAAAAAACTTTATGAATTCTTGCTATATAGACTGACCTCCAAATTGTTTTACTTATTTAACTTTATTTACTAACAGGAAGCATAGTGGAGAGAAGCCATATGTCTGTGATAGGTGTGGACAGAGATTTGCTCAAGCCAGCACACTGACCTATCATGTCCGTAGGCATACTGGAGAAAAGCCTTATGTATGTGATACCTGTGGGAAGGCATTTGCTGTCTCTAGTTCTCTTATCACTCATTCTCGAAAACATACAGGTAAGTTTGACAGGGAGAGACTGCTTAAAATAAAGTTATAAATAAAAGAAAAAGGGGACTTGGGCCTTTTAGCGAAGTAGATCGGAAACTTTGTAGTTAGATATCTGTTTATATTTCTATAAGCTATGTTTATGATTTTTGCACATATTTGTTAAATATAAAAGCTGACTTATTTTCTAGAATAATACAAGGTGGGTGAAATAAATTATATAACTTACACATTAAAATCAGTGAGATAATTTTGATATTATATAAACTTGCATTGAGATGCATTTTGTGACTTTATAAAAACCTTTTCAGCTTCCTAAAGGGTCATCTCCTATAGTTAGGGTTGGGGAGTGGGTTTGGGTTGAACATGGATTTTTAAACTTCTTAGGACCTTTCCTACACAGATATTCTGGGATTTTCAAATAAGGTAATTCAGATGCAAAATAGCAGTTTGGAAACAAATTGCTTTTTTAGGGTACATTTTTTAAAAGACTTCCCTACATACTTTTATTCTCCTTTATTAATATAGTAGATAGCAAGAATAGAAATGTGGGTTTATGAATTGACATGTTCTTAATCATATAAAAATCAAATTCCTTGCCCAAATCATCTCTATTAGAAGGGACATTTTGAGGAATAAAGTTTTAATATATGAAAACTTATGAACAGTATACAATAATTACTAATATTCATTTACTTGGATCACTGAAAATACCTCTAAAGTACAATATAGAGAGATTTTAATTTAAATAATATTCCAGAAAAGCTTACTTTAGATTATTTGTAATTGATAAATATTATATTGGTATAGTACACCACTTCGCTATCTTTTATTTTCCATCTAGGTGAAAAACCATACATATGTGGTATTTGTGGGAAAAGTTTTATTTCCTCAGGAGAGCTCAACAAACACTTTCGGTCCCATACAGGTCTGTGTTTAGGGAGAACGTATTATTTTTTGTTCTCTCTTAATTTCTTTTTATGTAAACCTTGACTTTTAAGCCATTATGGACTATATGGTATTTAGTCATACTGTACCTATAGCAATATCTTAATGTATAAATATCAACTTATTTGCTTATTTTGTTTTTTTTTTAGTTGTTTGGAGTATGAATTAAATTTGTTAAAGAATTGTGTTGGTTTTCCAAGAAATATGCCAGATAATCAATAGTTTTTAAATGATTTGGATTAAATTGCACAGATATACCAAGAAATGAAAAGGAATAGGTAATACCAAGATAACATCAGATTTTCTTACTAAACAGTGTTTAGTATGCAATTTTTAGGAACAAATTTTAATTTTGACATGCTTATTGTAAAAAGTAGTTTGTAAATTGTATAAAGAAAATATTGAATGTAAAAAATTTTAAAACAAAGGAAAATGCCACTTTGAAAGAGTACTGTTCTGACATTCTCTTTTTAAAAATTCCTTCTCATAATTCCTACCTAGAATAATGTGAGTACTTAATAGAGATTTAGTAAGTTTTTGGTGACTTTATATTCTGACGCGCTTTAGTTTACACCATAAAGCACTGAACAGTTATTTCCAAAGAAGTGTAATATTGTAGCATGCTGTCAGTATTTTTAAGGATTTTCTAATTTGCCAGGTACCTGAGAGCAGAAACCATGATTATTACACTTATTTTCTCCCAGCTGTATCTCTTAGCCAGTGTCTGGCATATAACTGACACTCACTAAATGTTTCATAGAAATACAAGAGTAGGCTTTTGTTTGTTTTAGTTTGCAGATACATTTCTGTTTATGAAAATGCTCAAGTTTTCTTGAGATACAGATTTTTTGTATAAAGGAGTGTCTAGGTTGTATAGAATCTTTCATTTCACTATATTATAACCAGGTGATTAAAGTGACAATTTGAAACCAAATTTAAACACTATAATAATTTTTGCCTTGTGTTCATAAACATTGATATTTTTGTCTTAGCTAGCAGCTTTTAAAATATTGAAATTTAAACTTCTAATTTGTTTTTCAGGAGAAAGACCATTTATCTGCGAATTATGTGGAAATTCTTACACAGATATTAAAAATTTAAAGAAGCACAAAACAAAAGTCCATTCTGGTAAATGCTTGTGTTTTGTTTGCTTGTTTGTTTGTTTTAATTTGGTGCTCATATTAGTGCTATTCCTTAAAATGCTGAGATGAGATTTACATTTAAGCAGTTTAAATTAGATGTCTATTTCAAAAACTAGGTATATACATGTGAGGAAAGTAGCTTTTTTGCAGAAACATTCACTCTGGATTTTTCATATTGAATCTCTTATTTAAAAAAAAAAAAAAAAAACTTGAAACATTTCCTCCTTTGAAAACCTGACTTAATAACAGTCCCAAGCATGAAGGAACATATAAGCAAGCTATGTGTCACTGTTTCCCATACTGGAGTCTGGATAACTCAGGGTTTACTATGGTTATTATGAAAAAAAAGGGGGGGGGGGTGGTGTTATCATGAACACTAGTCCAGAAATGTTTAAGAGGAAATAGGGAAACAGGTAGCCCTACATTGTTATAATATATAAAAATGGAAAGCCAAACAACAAGTTTTGAGTCTATTGGTTAAAGTGAATTCTTGAAAAAGTTTCCCTGTGCTTACCATTTTATTCCGTCATTATTCGACATGACACTAGGCCCTTCTGGTGTGTAAATACTTAAACATCGTAAGTATTAAGTTAGAAACATCTAAAAACTGCAGTAAGTCATTAATTTAACCACTTGTTAAATTTCTGTAAAGTGTACTTTCAGGGAATATGAAGTTAAACAAGGCATAGTTCTGGTACTCAAAGCACTTACAACCTGGTGTGCGAGACCAGAAACCTAAATAAATAATTAAATAAACTAAATAAATAGGGAAAATGTAGGGCATAATCGACACAAAAGTGCTAAAGAAGATACTATGTTTTTCTGAGGTAAGTACTAAAAAAAACTTAATTTTAACTTGAAGGATGGAGAAGAGTTCAAAGATGGAGATGGGAAGAGAGGATTCATTCCGGGCAGAGAACACTGTAGAGAGTCAGTGGGACAAGAAGGAAACCTTAGCTAGTTGAAGTGAAGAGTAGTTTGGGAAGAATACAGATAATTACAATTTTACGAAAGCAGTTTTGTCTGCGTGACAAGGACGGTGAAACCAAAATCATGTCAACACTTTAGAGTAACGGAAGCATGTTAAAGCCATTGGAAAATTTGAAGGCAAAAGTACATCTTTAGTCAGTGTGCTGATTGCTCCCTTGAGTAGAGCAGAATTTCTCACCTCTGAAAATATATGAAAGTGCCATACATACTGTTCTGAACTCACAGAATAATATGAACAACTTATTAAAAACATTCAGTGAATGAAAAGAGTATTTCTTATCACTGTTTAATATTTTGAGGGAGTTAAAGAAGTATAACGACATTTACTCTCAAAGAATTTACAGTCTGGTTGAGGATTCAAGGCATACCTGAGTAGAATGTTAAATGGCAATAAGAGAGATAGATGCCACAAGGCAGTATATGAAAATTGACAAATGTGTGATTAAGCCGATATAACAGCTCACCCTGTTTCATTCTTAATCAAGTCCATTTTTTTAAATGGAGTTGGTGCTTGAACTTAACCTTGAGGCCCAGATTGAATTTACATAGATAGTGAGGAGGGCATATGTACAAAAGAGAAACCGCTTGAGTAAAGGTATGGTGGTTGGAATGTAATTTCTGGGAATGGTAAGTACATTAGTCTACCTCAGGGGTTTAGTTTTGTTTTAAAGATAATGTAGATTTTTTTTTCCTTCCATTCTAGGTGCAGATAAAACTCTAGACTCCAGTGCAGAGGATCATACTTTGAGTGAACAGGATTCCATACAAAAAAGTCCTTTATCAGAAACTATGGATGTGAAGCCTTCTGATATGACTTTACCATTAGCTCTTCCACTTGGGACTGAGGACCATCACATGCTTCTGCCTGTCACGGATACTCAGTCTCCTACATCAGATACATTGTTGAGGTCAACTGTGAATGGGTATTCAGAACCACAGTTGATTTTTTTACAACAATTATACTGACTTTGTAAGGAATATGGAATTGCTAAGATATCATTGGTAGCAAACATCTCTGGTAAGGTGCATATATTCATATTAAATTCCCATTCATTTGAGTTGTGACCATTATTTTTCATTCACTGAAGTAAAAGCACCTGATGCTGCATCACAACTGCAATGTTTGTTTTTATTTTTGGCTTTATGTCTATACTCCACAGAGAGCTTTTTAAGTAATGAATTATGTAGCACTATTTTGGGTGGATGAGTTTTATTTTCTTTTAAAGCTGCCTTAATTCCATTTTTATTTTGCATTTTAGAATTGCCCTTCATTTACTAAATCAGCCAGTTAATGTGATTCAGTTGTGACCTGTGGGATTTTAAAATTTTCCTGCCCTCATAATTTAAGCAAAATCCACGATAGTATCAGCCCAAGAGTGTGTTGCTATTTGTAAGCCCCATGGATCAATACATAAACTATGCATAAAAATAAAATTTCATATTTTCGCTCGTAAAAATTTAGGCGCTGAATAAGAATTGTGCTATTTCTCTATTAATATATTGTTAGAAATAACTTTTCTAATGAAACAAAAATGTTTCTCAAAATCTAGAAAAGTGCATATAAATTTTTGTTCATTTAGAACTGAGTATTCTGGAGAAAACCAATGGTCAGCACTTTTGGTTTGAGTTATCTGAGATTGTATTTTCAAAATGAATTTTAAGTAGATATTTGGTGTTTTTATCTTGTCAAAGACAGTTTCAAAATTTGATTCAGTTTATGTTTTATTCCGTTCTAAAATATTGGAGATGAGGAAAATGTACTTGAGTTTTGAAATATTTTGGTAAGCCTCTCTTACTCCTGTTATGCACTTTTTAAAATAAATACTGAATTCCAGAAAGAATTTTCTAGATATAAACTTAATGCATACTAGAAATCACTTGGCTTCTAAATTTGGTACATTATATTGCATAAAGAGTTAAGAAATTAACCTCAATTATAAGTAAACATTTTGAGTTACCAGAAAGCCAACTATAGTTAAATATTTTATATCTGAGTTTTCTATAAGTTTGGGGTTTGTTAATTTTATAAATTAAACCACAACTTTTGGTGGTGGTTGTAGTTTCACAATGGTCCTTTTCCTTCCAAATGAATGTAGAAAATTCGTTATTATCCTGATATTTGCACCACTCATCCCCATGCCACTTTTCCCACATATTAATTTATTTCACTGCCTGATCTTTGGATATGAAATTATGAGTTCCACAAAGTCAATTTTTATAGTGCCAATCAAACAGCATGGTGATATTCTTTTTCTTTTTTTTTCCCCCCACAAGGCTGTTGTTCAGTGTGAGATGACATCATTTCTTATTTCTGCCATGCTGTGGCTTTTTTGTGTTCTGCTTTTAAACTACACCTGTAGTACAGTTAATATGTTTTTTATTGGTATTGATTTCTTTAATTCATTAATTTTCTCTATTTGGGACCCAAGTCATAAGAACCAATTAGAGGACATAATAAAAACACTTAATGCTTGTAGTCTGTAGAGATCTTCACCATTTCACAGCACACACATTATTTTCATAATAAATTGCCACTGGTGGGACATGGGACTGACTTATTTGAATAGAGTTTGAAATACCACCTTTGTATGATGCAAACAATATTTGATTATTTTATCTAAGAAATCTATGCATGTGTATCAAGTTAAAATAGTGGGTTTAAATACAATTTACAAAGCATTAGAATGTTACCTAATCTCTTCTGGGTTAAATGTGATAGGAATGTATTGGAATGTGAAGAAATTATAGAAAATTAAAAGACTCAGCCTCTTTAGGAAGTTTGCTAAAATGGAGAGGTTATGTTTAATTTATTTATATCTTCGTTAATCCAAGCATCTAATGAACAAAAAACTGCTACAGTGACGTCATAATTCTATAAGGGCAATAGTTGCCAAATTTCCTCTGGTATTATTAGCATTCTGCCTTTGCATAGATTAGCCTTCAAATTTATTATTTTTAGTATTATTTGATACGATTGAAGTGGCTAAGATTGATTGAGCTTTTCTTGATCACATTTTCTGCTTCTTAGCTAAAGTAATTTTATTTAAATTGACATGGCTTGAGTTGTCATCATTTTCTGCTCTTCTAGAATGATGTGTAGAGAAAACTTGAAGATACTATCCCTTCTTTGGCATTCTTCTCTTAATGCTATGCTATTATTTATCATAATATGCATATATTTAGTTGTATCTGGTATCATTCTAACACTCATAACTACCATTTTAGTTAAGTCCAACTTTATATTTGTTACAATGCAGTGTTTTGGGAAAGGTCTATTAGTAATTATTTAAGTATTACATATTTTTATGGAAGTCTTTAGAAGGTGAAGATCTTACTGAGAAACTATTTTCTAAATAAATTTAATTTTCTTTTGTATTTGTATCAGATCATGCCTACTGTATGTTAGATTTTAGACTATTTTAAAAGAAACCGTAGATTATATAAAAATTTTTTTGCTGTTTTTAAATGGCATTTGTCTTATGTTTAATTTCACAGGATGATTTTGATAGACAAATTTTAGAAAACCTTTTTTCAAAGGTAATGGTTCTATCAGTTTCATTCCAACAGTAGCTAATTTCTGTGTTTCAGTCCTACAGAAATTGTGTGAGTAGTTGAAATAATGTACATGTACTAGTTTTTTTAAGTATTCTAAATAGTTCTAACATTTAATGCATATCAGAAACATGCTTAAGAAATAACAATATCCAGGCCCACCCCACCTATTGAATCAGACAGTTCCCAGGGCATATATATGCTGGGGAAGCCCCATAGGTGATTTTAATGTATACCAAACATGTAGAGTCTCACTCTGTTGCCCAGGCTGGAGTGCAATGACGTGATCTCAGCTAACTGCAACCTCTGCCTCCTGGATTCAAGCAATTCTCCGGCCTCAGCCTCCTGAGTAGCTGGTACTACAGGTGCGCGCCACCACACCTGACTAATTTTTGTTAGAGATGGGGTTTCATTCTGTTGGCCAGGCTGGTCTCGAACTCCTGACCTCAGGTGATCTGCCCACCTCAGCCTCCCAAAGTGCTGGGATTATAGGCATGAGCCACTGCGCCCAACCATGAACTACTATCTTAAACATTTCCTGATGTTCTACCTTTGGGAAGCAGTTTAAAATGATGCTCTTGAATATAATTTTCAATATTTTACCTGGAAATTTTGAGTACCTAGAACTTTTTTTTTCTTATTATTATTATACTTTAAGTTCTAGGGTACATGTGCACAGCATGCAGGTTTGTTACATATGTATACATGTGCCATGTTGCTGTGCTGCACCCATTAACTCGTCATTTACATTAGGTATTCCTCCTAATGCTATCCTTCCCCTCTCCCCCCAACTACCTAGAACTTGACTAGAAATACCATCAAGTAAAATTCTTTAAATTCTACATTTTTACTCGTTATTTATGGGCAATATTGATATGTACTTATTACAGCATTAATTTTTTGAGATAATAATTATAGTCTACTCTTCTGTCCTCTGCAACTCCTGCCTCCATTCATTCAAAAGAGGTTTGCTGTACAGAGACTCCTTGACTTATGGGTTTATCATAAGTCAAAGAGTATACTGAATATGTATTAGTTTCACACATTGTAAAGTCAAGAAATCATAAGTCAGGGACCATCTGTATTTGTTTAAGAAATTAGATAATTACCATGTAAACACAGTATTTAATTTCATGAAGAATTTACTAAAATAAACACCATGGATGTGAACATCCACATATTTGGATAACAGTATCTGGCCAGTGTTTCAAATGCTGGGAAAAAAATTCAAATCAGAATGCATAAAGCTGCAAAGATGATAAACTACCCTTAAGTTTACAGTCAAATGGAGATGCCAAGCATAAATATAACTTGCAATAAGACAAGCCAAGATGTTGAGTGTTATAGTAGGGGAAGGCAAGAAAGGAACTGCTGAGCAGTCAACAGGAGTAGAATGGACAGAGAAACAGCCATTGCTTACCTGGATAGGCAAACGAGGAGATGGCTGATGGAAGAATTTGCACATAGCTGATGAAGAGGGAACTAGGCAGAATGGAGAGAAAGCATTAAGTGGAGAGGAGATAGAGGTCAGAGGCATCTCCAGTACTACACCTATACCATCTTGAAATAGTCCTCTACCCATATCCTGTGCTGAAGGAGTGAGATTAGATAGCCAGGTTTGTAACCTATGTCCTCACGTGCCAACCACAGTTGCGTGCTAGAGGGTGGGGATTAGACAGCCACATAGGTAACACATGATTCCATACTGGTGACCACAGCAACAAGACACTTCACCAGGGAAAAACAATTCATAGGCTAGACTGAGCTGGTAAGATTCTTTCTCACAAATTTGAGCTATGAAATTCTGAGACAATCAGATAATGATATACGTATAAATGAAAAGATCATTTTAGAACTGGCCTTGAAGTCAGTGAAGCAAGCTAAAGTCTAAAGGAAATGATGAGTAAGCAGAGAAAGCTGATCTATAGAGCAAAGTTAGGGAATGAAACAGGTTTGCAGAGCCAAGAGACTGCCCTAGAGAGATCAGAAAAGTGGCCTTAGTTTCTGGCTCTGCAGTCCTACTGAGGTGATGCAGCCATGATTCATTTTCTGCCCCTGGATGCCATTGATTGTGGCTGTTGTATCCTTATGTTAAATCCCCCTTTTCTTAAACAGGCTGAGTCACTTTCTTTTCCTTGTAATCAGGCAGCCCCAAATTGGACACCTAAGCTTTGATCCTTGGTGATTGAGAGGATAGTGATACCATTGACATCAAGATAAGTCAAGGAGCATGTTTAGAGAAGGGAAGCAATTTTGATGTACCGAATTTGACTGGTGGTGAGATATGTAGGAAATTTCTGGTAGTGGTTGGAAATGGGGCCTGAACCAGGAGATGTTAAAACTAGAGATACAGATCTTGCAGCTAATAATTTATAGAAATGATTAAGGCAGCCCTGGGAGATGGTATAGGAGAAAAAAAGATGAGGACAGAATTTGGGGGAAAATTCATTTAAAGGATAAGCAAAGACGGAAAAGAAGATGGAAAGTGATAGCAGAAAGGAAGAAAACCAAGGTGGCACACATTTTTCAGAGGCAAAAGTGGCTTTGTAGCAGTCACATGGTACAGAGAAGTAGGATGTAAATCTGAGACAACATTGGGCTGGATAATTGGAGCATGATGATCCTTTAGAAGGCAGGTACAGTATAATAGTGGGAGCAGAAACCAGATGGATATGGTTGTAGTAGATATTAAGAAGACATGATGAATGATAATACTATAGAAAAGTTTGAAAAGGAGAACGTTTAAGACAAATGATCATTATTTTCCCAAATATCTGAAAAGCACATACTGCTTTATTTTTTGCTTTCAAATTTGAAACATTGTAAAATGATGAGTATAATATGATCTGCAACAGTGTAAGGTGAAGCAGTCTTTGAACTGGGTCTTAAAGGATGATTGCTAAGAGAAAAATGAAACAATACATACAATATGATTGCAGATTTGCTCTTTATAATTTAGATGTGCAGAGAAAATGAGAGTTTTCCTATGGAACTTATATGTCCTTCCTCTTGAGCCCATACCCAGTGGTAAGTCTGGAAAAAATTAACTTTTAGTTTTAGCCAGTTTAAAACCTAGTCTGATATAAAGGGGATAGAATTTATATCTTAAGGGATTTTAAGGTAATGCTTAATCTTTTGGAGAAATGCTGTTTTATTTCTGCCTTTTGTCTTTCTAAAATGGTGTCCAGACATATCATACAAGACAGGGGCATCAGGGTAGACAGAGTCTTTGTGGAGCCCTTCCATTCTCTGGGTTAATTATACTGACCTCTGTTGTGGCAGGCAGCAGCTTATAAAATAAGTAACAAGTCTTTCCTAGTCTGGTCAGAGTCCAGTTGTCCTTGGCTGAACTGACTTCATCTCAGTTCTTTTGGATGCGGAAAACTCTCTGAGGCCCTATCACCTGCAACTCTGCCTCAAGCAGCAGTGTAGGTCAGGTTACAGGTTTACCACCTGCACCCCACTGTAAGCTCAAGGTAAGCCTACTTGCTTCTCCTTCAGCCATCTTCTGAATCTCCCTTTGGGGGAATATGGGAACTTGTGGGTCTCTTCTATAGCACACAGGAAGAGACAGTAGCCTGGGAAATCAAACTCTTTCCAGAATCTGGTAGACATCCTACTACCCAGCATGTGAGGAATACTACAAAGCAATGAAAAGTGAACAGACTACTGCTACATGAAACAACATAAATGAATCATACTAATATAATGTTGAACAAAAGAAGCCAGACACAAAGAGAGTGTATACTGTATGCTTCCATTTATATAAAGGTCAAGAACAGGCAAAACTACTCTGTGGGGTTAGAAGTCAGGATAGTGGTTATGAGAGGAGAGTGGGAGAGCTGGCAGCACTGGCTTGTTGGGAAAGGGGTATGTATATGTTTATATATATTTGCCTGTATTTATGAAATTGTTAGTAACACCTGTCTGTAACACGTAAATAGGATAGGTAGAATACTTTTTCAACTTCTGAACTTTGAAACCCTTTGAAAGTCACTGGTAATTTTCTACCACAAACCTTTTTATTAATACTACTTAATAACTTTCAGTTAGATACCTACAATGACCTTTACTTGTACGCTATTTCACTACTTGGTTATATTTTCATTATAAAAAGAAATTTAGTCTAGTTCCTTGGTCTCTTTCTCCAGGGTTAGAATTTTAGTCTCTATATTGTAAAATTTCTTTTAAAAAATTACCCTACTCAGTTTTTCACAATAGACAGTTATACAAAGTTTAATACAGTCATTATCTTTTACACATTTGAAAAAAGTAACTTGTTTTAATTTATAAAAGAAAATAGGCTATAGAATATTAATCTCTGTGAAACAATAAGACAAGTGTATGAAAATTATTTTACAGCTACTTTTTCATGGCTGTTGACCTACTGGAACAAGAGCAAAACCTGCATTAGATGAGTGGTCATAAGATTCTCCATAAGTTGATGTCCAATAATAATGCTTTTTAAGGCCATTGGAGACTTCTGCAAGATATACACGTCCATCTACCACAAATGGCTCCACATCTGTATTGTCTGGTTTTAGACAACCCATTTGAATTAAGTCTGAATATGCCTAGGATTTTTAGGAAAAAAACTATATCATTAAGAAAAAATGTATTCAATTTACAGTGCTTACGGAAATTTAAATATTCAAATTAGCTGTGCTAATTTGTAGTTTAAAATAAAATATTCTGAATAACATTGCTGAATTTTAATATTTTCCAG
Source organism: Homo sapiens (assembly GCF_000001405.40). Lineage (NCBI taxonomy): Eukaryota > Metazoa > Chordata > Mammalia > Primates > Hominidae > Homo > Homo sapiens. Next base: position 169,793,991 of record NC_000003.12, read on the forward strand.
GTATTGTAAATAGATTTTTATTCATTTAATTACACAGAATGAAATTATAATATTGCAAAACTTATTTCTAACTTTTAATGTATTAGACATGTTTTGTCATTTTGTGACTCCTAGAGTTGATTTTCTATACTACCAATTTTGTGGACCAAAGCTCCTATGGTCAAAATTTTCAAGTCCCACAGATGTTCATAAATTGGAATAGGTAGGGGGGCTCGGTAGGAGGCCTATTGTATACATTCTCAAAAATCTGCTGATAGCTAGTTACCCATTCCTCAGAAAAATTAAGGGAATCCCAGATTTGGACATACAATTATATAGAGTTCATGACCCCCCTGAATCTAATCTACAGATTTAGGCTAAAACAGACAATTCCATAGTATTGGATGCGGACCTATTAATTATTTCTTCATTGTAGAATTTTTATACTTTTTTTTTTTTTTTGAGACAGAGTCTTGCTCTGTCGCCAAGCTGGAGTGCAGTGGCACGATCTCGGCTCACTGCAACCCCTGCCTCCTGGGTTCAAGAGATTCTCCTGCCTCAGCCTCCCGAATAGCTGGGACTACAGGCCCAGCGCACCACCACACCCAGCTAATTTTTGTACTTTTAGTAGAGATGGGGTTTCACCATGTTGGCCAGGATGGTCTCAATCTCTTGACCTCGTGATCCCCCCGCCTTAGCCTCCCAAAGTGCTGGGATTACAGGCATGAGCCACGATCCTTAGTATCTATGTAACAGAGTCATACAAATACGTTGAACTGGTTTGTCAGTAAGGTTGGCAATATGGAGAAAGATGGAAATTTAGACATTAAAAGATTTAAAAGTCAAGTTGGTTTTTGCTTTAGCTTGTCATTCATCATTAGTTCCAGTTCCAGACTCAACTTATTCAGCTACTGATGTGTAGAACCTAAAGAATTATGGATGTTTTTCTAAAAGTAAGGGTTGGTTTTTTTGGGAGGGTGGTTTAGACAACACTCTATGTTTTATTACTCTTTTTAGTGGTGGAATTTTTGTTAGTCCTTTTGCAAATTTTGAGAATTTTAACATCTACTTTTTCCCCCTCGTTCTTTCCAAATGAAAACTGTTACCATTATTTCTGTTTTGAAAGTAGTATCAAAGGCTGTCTGTATTTATGTGAGCAACATGCCAAATATTTTGATAGCTTGTACTCTATCTCTCCCATTCCATATTTTGGTATAATTATTAGGGAGCAGATCAGAAATTTTGCTACATCTGATCAATAATTATGATTTTTCTTAACCTTAGAGGAATTAGAACTGTGTCATTCAGTGATGTGTAATACTAATACATAGTTTTAATATCTTTGGTTATTTGAACCACCAAACTCTCTAGTAGTTAATTTTAAGACTTATGTTAATTATCAAAACTGCAGTGTCTCACTGTGTAACCATTTCTGAGGCACCTGTAAATAATATCTGATGTTACAGAGATGATCCCAGAAAAAGCCTTCAGTGAAGGAAAAAACTTAAAACTTACTATACACGTAGCCTCATCAAATTTGTTTCCCCAAATGTAGATATGAGAGAAAGTGAGATTTGTTTTCATTGATTGTGAAAGTGCAACAAGTCCTTCTCCCTCTATGTTGTTGCTGACTACTGACAACCTGAAACCAATAATTCCACAAGGAAAGAATACAAAAATTAGCAACATTTATTACAAACACTTTCTTGTGTAGTCTTAGCATTATTCTTCAGTATGTTGTAATGTAGTGGTAAAAATACTGACCATTTAATTCCTAAAATCCAAGAAACTTAGTTTTCTAATTAGATCCTTAAGGTACTTAGTAGAGCTAACTACATTTTGAAAGTCTTCTGTTTTATATTATTCAGTAAATGTTTGGGTGGATAGCAGATATATTTTTCTGGATAAATGCATCCAAGTATTTTATTCTTTAGTTCATTCTTACTTTTAAAAGTCTTGATCATATTGAATGCTTCTGAGTTTTCTATTAGAATTCAGGATAAGTAATATAAGCAATGCAAATTTTCTCATTAATTTGAAGGAATCGTTAATAGAATCAGTCTAATTGTAAAAGACATTACATTTGAAAAATAGAAATGTAAATGTTTACTGTAACTTAATACTATGTCAGTTTAGAAGCTGAGTTTTCATATTTCATTATAATCTTAAGAGTTAAGGGGATTGAGGTTAGTATTTAAAAATTTGCTTTTCTGTTATTTTGATTAAATATAAAACCATACTAACGCTTTAAGACTCCTGTTGTGTGAAGTAAGAGTTTCACTGAGATAGTTTGCGCCTGCATTTTCTATTCTGTTAAAGGAAAGATCTATTACTTCCAGGGTAGTGTTGCTTTTCAGTACATCAGCCAAATACACCATTCCATCATGAGTTATTTTGTTGCTGGCAAAGGAAAAATAGTTATATTTGAAAATATGAAATAGTGTTTTTATTCATAGTGATAAGATGCTTGAAAACTTAAACAGTACTTTCTGTTTTAGTAAAGGTTTATTTTAACCACTTGATTTCCAAGAAAGTTAATGAAAATTCACCATAAAATATTGCTTTCATTCTTGTTTACACAACTAAATTGCTCATTTATGTTACTAAAAGATAGCAGTATTAAATATTAAAGCTTAGGACAAAGGATTGACAATTGGTTGCAGTTTCTAATCATTGGAAATAATGTCTAACAACGTATCCCAAGTACCATGAATATTTATATAGATTATTCCCATTATTTAACTTTGAATTATTAATGTGTAAATTATCACTTACCAGCTGACATCAAGGTAGCGCAGGCTACTGTTCAGATACAGTGCATCACATAACTGTTGTATACCACTGTTTTTTATATCATGCTTACACATGTGTAGTGCAACAAGACAGTGATTTTCTTTCAACATGCGGCCTACATGGACTGTAGACTCTTCCTAAAAGTGGATAAAATCTTATTTCTAAAATATAATTTTGAAGTAGTACATGTTTATTTCAGACATATGCTGTTATTTAAATTAGCTTTTTAAAAAGATTATATTGGTTAAAACTGTTAGTCCACAATTTGCATTTGTTTGGTCTATCTTTAAAAAATTATCTTTGCCACAAATGATATTTTTTACCTTCTCAGAAGGTAAAATATAGTCACTATATTTTACAAGTGCCTGCTACCTAAGTGATGTAAAAGAGGCTGGTTAATTTGGTTTTTTAAAAAAACAATAATCAGTCATTTCGAAAGGAAAAAAAAATTGGTCCCATCATGTATTGAGCATGTAATCCATCTTTCAAGTCTCTAAACCTTTCTTATACCTTCCATATGTTCCTGAACTTTGCTCTTGATCTCTACTCTTGATGGTTTTCAGACAAAATACAAAGACATTTCCCAATCTTTATTTTATATTAAGAATACACTCATTAACCCTGTGATATATCTGATCCTTCCCTTTATATTCATCTCAAATTCCTAAGAGGTTTTATTCTTATTTTCTGATCATCAGAAGACTTTTTTTTAAGTTCCACAATCTAGCTACTTCTAGGTAAAAGATACATGGCATCAATGAAGATTTGAATACCAGGCATTTTAAGTTTTTAGTAAAATCAAAGCATATTTTCAAATGAATGGCCCAAAGTATTTTGTGACAAGAAGTACTCTTGCATGATTGCTGTATAACATAATAAGTTTTTTAGTCACTGGAAATGCTGATGATGAACACAGATAACTATATGTGTTCTTGTTATATATAAAGGTACTTTGAAAAAAACTTTAAATGAAACCACATAGCAATAGCAGAAAGTACATGAGCTTTATAAAAATCAAGTCTGTCAGATACTAGCTCTACCTTTTACTGGCTATATGACTTTGGGCAAATATTTTCATCTAGCTGAGTCTCAGTTTCCATTTTAGTAAAGTAGCTGAAATTATGCTTCCCTCACAGAAATAAGTTAACTAATAAAAGGTACCTAGCACAAAATAAGTGTTCCATAAGCAGCCTACAAAGCATTTATTATTGTTCAATATTCTGTAATTCTGTATTTGCTGAAATTGCTTTGACACTGAAAAGATACACCCAAAGGAATGCTATGTAGACTAGGATCTTTAAAAATGCACGCCAACCATGCTAAAGGGATGCTATGTAGTCTAGGAACGTAAAAAAATGCAAACCAACCACTTAGGGGGTTCCACTATTGCTCTTCCTAGTGCCAGGCACAGAGGACAAACTCAGTACGTTTTTGTGTTTGGGCCTTGATTGCAGTTTTAGGCTACAACGCTTGAAAGCAGGAGTATCCTAATTAAGGGAGGAACTATTGTCAGAAATAGTAAAGGGTTTTAGCCCCATTCACTGAGTTTGTGACTTGATTTGTCTAGAGTGGCACCTGGCATCAGTATTTTTCAAGCTCCCCGGATAATGCCAATGAGCATTAAAGGTGAAGTCCAACATCTTAACAGCTTTTTGTTATCCCATTCCTCCACGGTAATAAAACAGTAAAACCCGTACATGGAATAGATTTGCAGGTTTGTATTTGGGAACAGCAATTTAAGAGCAGAATAGTACCCTTGGGGATAGAGAAGGTAGTGGCTGTCCTGGAGAAGAACAAAACAGACTAGCACCTAGCTGGCTGCCAGAAGCACCAAGCTGAGAGCAACAAGGGGGCCTGGGCTTTTAATAATAAGCATCCTCAGGTGGATTTAGGAATGACACCACTCAACATATTTTAAAAAGGGATCATGCTTATAATGTGATCTCCTATATATAAACATATTTCCACAGAGATAAAATCCAGAAATGTATTTAGCCCTCGAATCTCCTGTCATGTCCTCAATCTGAGAACCTCCCTACCACACTCACCTCCCCTGCTTTGATTCTGATTACCCTCCTTATGTCCCCATGGCACCCCGGGCATATCACTCTCCAGACTTGTCAAGCTCCCTCCACCTAGATGGAAAACTCACTGAAGACAAGTGCTATGTAATTTATTTGACTTTAATACCTCTAGCACCTCGCTAGCATTGTGTCTTGTTTAAGGTTGCATTCAAATATTCATGGTGTGAATGAATCATGAGTGAAGCAATTCACTGCATGCCTACTTTGAGCTGTATTTTGCTAGTCTTTTAAGTATTTTTAAAATAGGAATCTATTTGAAGATTCTGAGTGTCTTGTTGAACAGATTGGATTTACGTACATGAAACAACGTGATGTAAAACCACAAAAATTCTGGTACCAAAAAGTGCAGCGATAACTCAAAGGGAGAGATCTATGTAGGCAAAGAATGTAAAATACACTTCTGAATATGAGAATACTACTTTAAAAATATCATTAATTCTCAGTGATTCATACTAAGGGGGAACAATGAAGTAGATAATTTTAAATTATCTAAAGTGCTTTAATCATTTAAAAAGTTCAGAGTTTGGCTGGGCATGGTAGCTGATGCCTGTCATCCCAGCACTTTGGGAGGCCAAGGCAGGCAGATAGCTTGAGCTCAGGAGTTCAAGACCAGCCTGGGCAACATGACAAAACCCTGTCTTTACCAAAAATACAAAAAAATTTAGGTGGGCATGGTGGTGCATACCTGTGGTCCCAGCCACTCAGGAAGCTGAGGTGGGAGGATCACTTGAGGCCAGGAGGTGGAGGCTGCCGTGAGCCGATATCATGCCACCGCACTCCAGCCTGGGTGACAGAGTGAGACCTCATCTCAAAAAAGAAAAATAAAGTTGAGAATTCAAACACTGACATTGATTGATTGATTGATTGATTGATTGATTGAGATGAAGATGAAGTCTCGCTCTGTCGCCCACGCTGGAGTGCAGTGGTGCAATCTCGGCTCACTGCAACCTCTGCTTCCTGGGTTCAAGCGATTCTCCTGCCTCAGCCTCCCAAGTAGCTGGGATTACAGGCACCTGCCACCATGCCTGGCTAATTTTTGTACTTTTAGTAGAGACTGGATTTTGCCATGTTGGCCAGGCTGGTCTCAAACTCCTGACCTCAGGTGATCTGCCTGCCTCAGCCTCCCAAAGTGCTGGGATTACAGACGTGAGCCACCGTGCCCGGCCAAACATTAAATTTTAAACATTGAACTTTATAAAGTGCTTTGACCATTTACTTTTCCTAATAGTTAGATATATGTTTTTGTTTATACCAATAATAACATGAGTTCTTATTCTCTAGCTGTTTACAAGTGATAGGAGAAGAAAGCCACCCAGAAGGAGAAAGAAGTCATGAAAGTAGGAACCACATTTTTACTCATCTTTCTGTCTCCAGCAAGCAGCTTACTGCTTTTCATACACATTTTGCTTTTATTACTCATGATTTCAAAGGTGTAATGGTTCAGCCACATCAATGTAACAAACAGTTCACACTGGGCTCTTATAGTCTGGCCTTTAAAACCTTCACTATTTATGCTTTCATCTTAACTACTTTGACCCTCACAGGTTTACTCACTAAGAACTTGAGTTTCAAGAGAAAAGATGACATGTTTGCTGCTTAAACAAGCAATATCTAAAAGCATATTTAGTTATAAACGTCTTACCAAGAATTGATATAATTTTCATTTAAACATTTTTATAAATAGTAGTTTACAAGATATAGTAAGTACATCTCTAAAAATACAGTGTATTCATGTACCTTGACATAAACTTGTAGTAGTACCTTAGTTTTATTCATGTTGTTATATTAACTACCATCACTTTGAATACATACCTGTTCACTGTACAGTATAGGTCGGTTTAGGTTTATTGCCTTAATTGCTTGGTTTTGAGTTAGTACTGTAGCAAATGCTATCACACTTTGCATTCCCTAAAAACAGGTAAATTCATTAAGGAAACAGACAAAGTATATAATAATCTCGCTACATAAATATTTCAAGATCAGCTATCTGCATTCTGATAAAATTGTTTTTAAAATTTAAGCATTCCTTGGACTTTGAATTGTAAGTTGATCAAATTCAAAAATGAATTGTTACTGTATTCTTCTCTCCTGGCCCTAAAATCTATCTAAAACATGGCATGGGGAGTTTCTTAATGTTTCAGTGTCCATTTCCTGGGTGTTTCCCTCTAGGTTTTTTTTCCTCACCCCTCAAGCTTCTATGTGGATCCCAGCTAGAGCTCATACTACTTATCCAACACACATCATTGTGCAAGCACTCTTTTATATTCATACTAGTACTTTTAAGTGTGTGTGCGGTGGGAAAAGGTTACCAATCACATTTTTCACAGATCCCATAGGCCTCTCTTGCTCTATCTGACTGGAAGGGCCTAGTCTCCCCATATCCGTGATGGACACCACCATGTACACCCAGCTGGTATGCCGGAAACCATGGGCTTCCTCTCACTCTGCCATTCCTCTTACCTTCCCATCCAGTTGATCACTAAGACTTACAGATTCTGCTGCCTCCAAAAGATGTCTCAAATTAGTCTGTTCCTGTCCATCTCTGTGGCCACCACCCCAGCCCAAGTCCTCCTCACCTCTCACCTGGACTACTAAGTGGTCAGATGGCTTCTTCTTGCCACCCTTTACTTCTGCACAGAGAAACCAGTGATCTAAAACCACCAATCAGATCATTACCCCTCAGAGCTTTTCCAGATTTCCATGATTTGCTTTTTCCATGATTTTCATTTATAATACAACCCCCACTTCTTCCCCTTACCTGTGACCCACAACCCACACAACTTTGCCATATCTGGCCTCCATAAGCTTCTCTACTTTTACTTCAAGGCACTCTTAACTTTGTCTGCTCAGCCATTCTGACTTCTCAGTTCTTAAAACCTGTGACACTTGCTATTTTATTATTCATGTACCTCCCTCGTGATTTTTGCCATATCTCAGTATGCAAAATATTTAACACTATTTTTGTTTTTATTTATTTATTTTTTGAGATAGGGTCTCACTCTGTCGCCCAGGCTGGAGTGCAGTGGCACACTCGGCTCACTGCAGCCTTGACCTGCTGGGTTCAAGCAATCCTCCCACCTCAGCCTCCCTAGTAGCTGGCATGCAACACCATGCGTGGCTAAATTTTGTATTTTTTGTAGAGACGGTATTTTCCCATGTTGCTGAGGCTGGTCTCAAACTCCTGGGCTCAGGCAATCTGCCTGCCTTGGCCTCCCAAAGTACTGGGATTACAGGCGTGAGCCACCACGCCCAAACTTACTTTACACCATTTACTTAATACTTTCCCATTAAATCAACTCACTTTTTCAATTATATTTATTTTAAAATAAAACTTTGTATCACTGCTGTAAATGGAAAACCATAATCCCTTGAAACAAACAGAAAGCATCTGTAAAAATAAATATATGAGTATGAAAATTACCTCACTCTGCACCAAGAATGCTACCCATGCCACACTTAGGGAAGCACTATCTTAATGTCTGTGCATGCTGGTGCTCTGCCTGGAAGGTTCTGACATGGACACTCTCCATGAGTTTTTTCTCATCCTTCATAACTCGTAAATATTACCTTAGTAATATAAGTCTTAGGCAACCCTCCTGTAGCAGAATTACTTCTCCCCATTATCAGAGTACTCAGTCATTTTTGTAGCACTTTCCTCTACTTCTTCATTGGTGTTTCCCCAACTAAAATATAAGTTTCATAAGGGCAGAGGCAGAGGCCATGTGATTCACTGTTGTATCATTAGTGTCCAGCACAATGACTGGTATGTGGAGATGATAAGTACCGAATTAATGTTTTCCCAGAACCACACTGGCTGCATCTACCACCTTAAAAAGTTAATCTTGGCCAGGCGCTGTGGCTCACTCCTGTAATCCCAGCACTTTGGGAGGCCGAGGCAGGTGGATCACCTGAGGTCGGGAGTTTGAGACCAGCCTAGCCAACATCATGAAACCCCGTCTCTACTAAAAATACAAAAAAAAATTAGCTGGGCGTGGTGGCAGGCACCTGTAATCCCAGCTACTCAGGAGGCTGAGGCAGGAGAATTGTTTGAACCCGGGAGGTGGAGGTTGCAGTGAGCCGAGATCACGCCATTGCACTCCAGCCTGGGTGACAAGAGTGAGACTCTGTCTCCAAAAAAAAAAAAAGTTAATCCTTCAGAATCTATTATACCAGAGAGCCCCCTGGCCCATCTTATTTTCATGTCACATTGATTAACCTGAGGCTATACAACAGGTTCCCAAGAGTAGGCCTAAAGATTTGAAAGCATGTCAGAGAAAGTGAAGCCTGGAATTTGAAGACATGCAAAAAAACACATTTTTCATTATCAGGCCAGGTGAAGGTTCAAAGCGACTTTTATCTTTTTTAATAATTTTTAGAGACAGGGTCTTACCATGTTGCCCATGCTGGAGTACAGTGGATGTTCACAGGCACGGTTGTAGTGAACTGTAACCTCAAACTCCTGGGCTCAAGAGATTCTCCCACCTCAGCCTCCTGAATAGCTGGGACTACAGGTGCATGTCATGTCGCCCAGCTTCAGAGCAGCTTTTAGCATCATCATTTTAAGTTTTTGTGCTACAATATAAGTAACTACTAAAAAGTATTTTATTTTTGTTTTGAGTCAGAGTCTCACTCTGTCGCCCAGGGGCTGGAGTGCAACTCACTGCAGCCTCCACCTCCTGGTTCAAGCAATTCTCCTGCCTCAGCCTCCTGAGTAACTGGGATTACAGGCTTCCGCCACCAGGCCCCGACTAATTTTTGTATTTTTAGTAGAGACGGGGTTTCACCATGTTGGCCAGGCTGGTCTTGGACTCCTCACCTCGGGTGATCCACCTGCCTCAGCCTCCCAAAGTGCTGGGATTATAGGCGTGAGCCACTGCAGCCTAAAATGTATTTTCAAAAGTAAAAAATTATATGAATAAAGTAATATTTGTTTAATTAAAGTGAACATGATCTTTTTCTAAAAATTCCATACAGTTTAAGATGAGTTATATAGATGGAAGTTTAGGAATATTTTTATTAAGTATTTTTCTATGTTATTTACTATAGTCTGATTTTATTAATAATCTGCACTATTATGTCTAGGGGAAAAACACCTTTTCTCTGATATTAGACATAAGAGGCAAAATTAATCATTCATAAGACTCTGATTTAGCTGTTCTCTAATGACCCACTATCTGGATGATTTTCTCATAACCAGTTTACTCACCAGATCACAGTCACCCAGATCTAATTTCTCTAATGATGAATTAATTTGCAGCATTGCAGCAAAAAACATTCCACCTTTATTTTCAATTTTGTTTCCAGTCATTCTTAGGTATTTCAGAGTCCGATTCTTCTGAAAAGGAAAAAAAACTTATTTAATAATTGTTAATCCACAGAATTCTATATATTACATGAATTAGGAGACTGTATTACTATTTGCAGACTCCAATTTTCATGGAGCTAGAACACGATATATATTTTTTTTGAGACAGAGTCTCGCTCTGTCGCCCAGGCTGGAGTGCAGTGGTGTGATCTCGACTCAATGCAAACTCCACCTCCTGGGTTCACAGCATTCTCCTGCCTCAGCCTCCCAAGTAGCTGGGACTATAGGCACCCACCACCACGCCTGGCTAATTTTTTTCTGTATTTTTGGTAGACATGGGGTTTCACCATGTTAGCCAGGATGGTCTCGATCTGACCTCGTGATCTGCCCAGCTCGGCCTCCCAAAGTGCTGGGATTACAGGCATGAGCCACCGCGCCCAGCCAGAAGAGGATATATACCTTAAAGGTAACATTCAATCTACCATAATAGATAAAAATCTAGTTTAACAGTTGAGTAGAAAGAATGCCCAAGAAACAGATGCCCAAGCAATAACCAGTAAATAAAACATATATTAATAAACTTTCACTGGAAAAATCTGTAAATTTATCTTAAGAAAATTATAGCACTTCACTTTTTTAAATTGAGGTGAAATTCACATAACATAAAACTGACCATTTTAAAGTATACAATTCAGTAGCATTTAGTACATTCACAATATTGCACAGTCATCACCTGTAGCTAGTTCCAAAACATTTTCATCATCCCCGAAGCCGGTCCTATACCATTAACCAGTCACTCCCCATTCCTCCTATATCACTTTTAAAGTAATATAATTTGATAAATATTTCACAAAATCACAGACATTTCATCATTCTAATGAGTAACTATTAGGACATATAATAGTGTAAATAATTATCACGATTCAAACCCCTCTGAGATCAGGAAGAAGAAAAGGATGTCCTCTCACCACTTCTATTTAACATTGTACTGGAGGTTCTAGCCAGAGAAATTAGCCAAGAAAAACAAAAAGAAAAACCATACAAATTGGAAATGAAGTGAAACTCTGTATGTGACACCATCTTGCATAGGGAAAATCCTAAGGATTCCACCAAAAAAACCTGTTAGAACTAACACAAGAGTTCAGCAACATAGCAGGACACAAGATCAATATACAAAAACAGCTGTATTTCCATATGCTAACAATGAACAACCTAAAAATGAAATTAAGAACAACAGTTCCACTTACAATAGCATAAAAAAAAGTTAGGAATAAATTTAACAAAAGAAATGTAAGATTTGCACATTGAAAACTACAGAGCATTGCTGAAAGAAATGAAAGGCCTTAAATAAATGAAACATCTTATGTTCGAGGTTTGGAAGACTTAAGATGGCAATACTCCCCAAGGTGATCTACAGATTTACTGTAATTCCTATTAAAATCCCAGCTGCTGGCCGGGTGAAGTGGCTCATGCCTGTAATCCCAGCACTTTGGGAGGCCGAGGTGGGCAGATAATCTGAGGTCGGGAGTTTGAGACTAGCCTGACCAGCGTGGAGAAACCCTGTCTCTACTAAAAGTACAAAATTAGCCAGGCATGGTGGTGCATGCCTATAATCCCAGCTACTTGGGAGGCTGAGGCAGGAGAATTGCTTGAACCTAGGAGGTGGAGGTTGTGGTGAGCCAAAATCGCGCCATTGCACTCCAGCCTGGGCAACAAGAGCAAAACTCCATCTCAAAAAAAAAAAAAAAAAAAACTCCCAGCTGCTTTTCTTGCAGAAATTGATTAACTGACCTAAAATTCATATGGAAATGCAAGGGACACAGAAGAGCCAACACAATCCTGAAAAAAGAACAAGGACACATTTCTTGATTTTAAAACCTACTACAAAGCTATAGTAATCAAGATAGTGTGGTACTGGCATAAGGATAGACATACAGATTAAAAGAATAGAATTGAGAGTACAGAAATAAACTCCTGTAATGATGGTTAGCTGATTTTTGGACAAAACTGTCAAGACAGTTCAATGGGAGAAAGAATAGTCTTTTAACAAATGGTGTTAGGACACGTGGATATACACATGCAAAAGAATAAAGTTGGATTCCTACCTCATACCATATTCAAAAATTAAAATGGATCAAAGAAAGAGCTAAAACTGTAAAACTCTTAAAAAAACATAAATCTTTGTGACTGGGTTTTCAAGATGAACCTTGAAAACATTAAGCCAGTCCCAAAAGGCCACATATTGTATGATTCTGTTTATATGAAATGTCCACAATAGGCAAATACATAGAGAGACGAAGTAGGTTAGTGACTGCCAGGGGCTGGAGAGCAGGGGGTAGAAAAGATGGAGAGGGATTGCTAATGAGTTTAGGGCTTTTCTTTTTGGGGTGATAAGAATGTTTTTAAAATAGTGATAGTAGTGATACTTGCACAGCCCTGTGAATATATTAATACTTAAAAAACCACTGAAGACTTTCAAAGGGTATATTTTATGTATGTGAGTTAAATCTTAGTAAAACTATGACTTCAAAAGTGTTCATGCAATGTCTACACTTGAATAAATTAAAGTATAATAAAAATATACATTCCTACAATATTAAAATAAGTTCACTTCAACATTGGACACTGTTGGTTCCAAGCTATCAGAAGTTAGAATTTCCAAATACAATGTTAGTTTGAAATACATAAATGCTTACATGTAGCACTTTAGCAATCAATTCTCCACCTTCGGGCCCAATATCATTAAACATGAGGTTTAAGTAAATGAGATTAAGTTGTTTCTATAAGAGAAAAGAAGCTATTACACATTATTATTATTGGAAATTGGTCAGTTTTACATACATGTATATACATATACACATACAGTATATACTTTATTTGAATAAGTGTTTTCCTCCAAAGAAAATCTTTATAACCAAGAAAAACTGTATCCTAGCAAAAACAACTACATTAAGGAAAAAAATCATTCTCATGTAATCAAAATATAATTACAATATAAATGAAAGAAAAAACTATATTTACCTTTGATCAATCTGAAAGATGTGTGGTGTATATATTTAATCATGGTGTACAAGTTTGCAAAAGATAACTTAGGAGCTCTAGCTACTGGCTCCATTGAGACCAAATCCACAATGGGTTTCCAGTATATTTCGAGTGTTCTAGCACAGAGTCAGGACCCTTGACATCAGGTAAAACTAGTGTTTTATGTGTGTGTCATTAGACTAATTGGTTTCATTGTAAATGGAACTAAGGACATTTTGTAGTAAAATAATACCTGAAGCAGTTTCGCAGCATAGTATGCACCAACATCACATAGAAGGTTATATCCAACATCCAAACCTGAAGCACAGATGAATAGAAGTGGATATTCATTATAAAGAATACTTAAAATCAGATCAATGAAAAGCAGGAGGTATTGATTCTTATGGAAACATACCATTAATATACAGACAATTCTTTAAAATTTTGGAAAGAATCCAAAAATCTTCACCTGTAACTCTTTCTACTGGCACTAAGCGATTGTTACCAGCAATGTTTAATGTGATTCCTGCTGCTAGCCTGTTAAAATACAAAAAAAAAAAAAAAAAAAAAAGATTTTGAAATAGAAACCCAGTAAAGAAGTAAAAGTATGTTTCCTTCATGTATAAATAGTCATATCACAGATATCATTTACTGGAAGCAAGCATATAATAAGTAGACTTATACAGTATATTTATACCAGGTAACTTAAAACTACTGAACATTCTGCAGACTGCAAAGTGCTTTAAAAGATTCCATATATTTAGCTCTCTCACACACACTCACACTCACACAAACAGTATCCCCACTTTATAGATAACACTGAAAACTTCAGTGATTTGCTTAGACTCACCCAGCTCAGGTTAGGCGTGGTGGTTCACGCCTGTAATCCCAGCACTTTGGGAGGCCAAGGCGGGCTGATCACCTGAGGTCAGAAGTTCGAGACCAGCCTGGCCAACATGGTGAAACCCTGTCTCTACTAAAAAATACAAAAATTAGCCGGGCATGGTGGCGAGCACCTGTAATCCCAGCTGCTCGGGAGGCCAAGGCAGGAGAATTGCTTGAACCCAGGAGGCTGAGTTTGCAGTGAGCCGAGATCACGCCACTGCACTCTAGCCTGGGCGACAGAGGGAGGCACCATCTCAGAAAAAAAAAAAAAAAAAAAAGATTCACCCTGCCCACAAACAAAAAAAAAAGATTCACCCCACCCACAGAAGTTAAAGATCACTCTGGAGCCCAAGCTTGGGTACTCCTGGTCTAGTGCTCTTTCCTGAATACTATACCACCTCTAAGACCTACTAACAGTGTTGCTCGTGTACTTACTTACCTGAATCAAATGGTATGTTCATTTTACCAAGCATTTTCAAATGGCTATAAAATCACTCAATATGTTAGGATTTTCACACACATGAATATAAGCAAACACTATTAATGTAATCAAGTATTTGTCTTTCTTACCCCTTTTTAATTTCTTCATCCACTTCTTGGAGTATATGCAATATAAAAGGATTAATTTTCTGGGATTTTTCCATACACAGATTAGAATAATGTTTCTGGAGACCAGATTCTGGAGATTCTGAAAAATATATGCATCCTCTATCACATATAAATTATTCTAGAAGCTTTAAAAAAAACCATAAAAACTACCTCTTTCAAATATATGAGTTGTATGTGTGTATAGTGGGGGTAGGGAAGAAAAGGAAACAGAATTAAGGTTAGAAAAAGAGAAGAGAAATAAAAATAATGAATGGGAGAGATAATTAAAATGCTGTTTGGAGAACTAGGGCCATTGAAGCACCCATTGAGGCTTGGCAGACACTGGCTCAAGTGAGCACCCTACGTTGGAAGTGACATAAAGGGAGAACTAAGCTCCATTATGTGCCAGGCCTGGTAGCTGAGGAAAATGACTTCCAAAGAAATTGTATATTTTGTCCAAAACCATGCAGCTAATAAAGGCAGAGTGCAGAATCAAACTGATTCCAAAACCTCTTTCCACTGTGCCCTAATGGGTTACAGGGACTCAAGGTTTCTTTTTTTTTTTTTTTTTTTTCAACTCAGTATCTCAGCATCCACGAGAGGAAAAGGTTTCTTAAAATAGCTTCACATAAAAACAATTTTATCTAATAACCTAACTCAAAAGGGATCTGATAAAGCACCTACTCCCACAAGCTTCTTGGATACCCTCTACACCATCCCAAGTTTGAATGTAACTGTCATTTCTTCATACCAAATCGAGGCCTGGCTCACAGAAGCTCTTCTCCTACCCAGCCTTCCATTTCCTCTTTCTAAAGGTGACTTTTCCCTAAGTTCTTAAGAAGACAGACACAAAGCAGGAGTTGAGATCTCCTTTCTGTTATACATGCAGATTTCCTTAATGACCTTGCTGTTCTCAGTAATACCTCAAAAGCATCTTCTGCAAGGCCTACATCTTCTGGGGTGGAAGTTATGCTGTTACTTTTCTTAGAAGTACAGGCCACTGTCTTTGTTTTCTATACATCTACCTTTTGTGGATGTCTTTTAAAAATTTGTGCACAGAGATCTCATTGCTCAACCAGCCTAGCTTTTTAGGAGCTGGCTTCTCTTCTAAGTCTCTACATCTCAGAAATGTTGTTTACTGAGTGTCCTTTGCACTCTGAAGAATAATGAGTTTGCTAAACGGATCTGCAGAACGAGATTTAACATGAGGAACATTACATTTCAGATGAAAGCAAACAAAATTTTCTTATAGTTTTTAATAACCTTTTTAAAAATAAATTTAATATACTTATTCCAGACAATTTGGAAATTTCTTTTTTTTTTTTTTTTGAGATAGGTTCTTGATCTGCCACCCAAGCTGGAGAGCAGGAGCGCAATCTCGGCTCACTGCAACCTCTGCCTCCCGGGTTCAAGCGATTCTCCTGCCTCAGCCTCCCGAGTAGCTGGGACTACAGGCACACACCACCACACCCAGCTATAAAGACGGGGTTTCACCATGTTGGCCAGGCTGGTCTCAAACTCCTGACCTCAAGTGATCAGCCTGCCTCAGCCTCCCAAAGTGCTGGGATTACAGGTGAGCCACTGAGCCCGACCGGAAATTTCTAACATTAAAAAAAAATACATGTTAATCTGCAATCCCACTGCCAAAGAACAACCACAATTGAGGTCTAGGCATACATACTTCCTATAGTTTTTCTTTTATATGCATATTAAGTATTTTTTAAACAAAATTGGAATCTTTGGATATAACTTTATATGCTGTTTTTTAAATTAACATTATATTGTAAGCAGTTTTCCCATGTCACTAGATATTCTCTGAAAAATTTAAATAGCATAATTTCTGTCATGTGGATAGATGTACGTATTAAAAAAAGCTTCACCTATTTTAGAAAATTTTCATGTATTTAAATGATATTGTAGCACAATATTTCCCAAACTGTATTTTGTGGAATATGCATGTTCTACAGGATGATCAAAGGTGTTCCAAATAGAATAGGTCTTATTATCAAGTAAGTCTGAGAAGTACTAAAATAAACAAAACTATACACAGACACAACACTTCTCAGGGCATTTAAAACGTGCACACTCTGCAAACTGTTAAGCTTGAGAATAGGGAGGATAAGAATGCTGCATTTCCGGCCGGGTGCGGTGGCTTACGCCTGTAATCCCAGCACTTTGGGAGGCCGAGGCGAGCGGATCACTTGAGGCCAGGAGTTCGAGACCAGCCTGGCCAATATGGTGAAACCCTATCTCTACCAAAAATACAAAAATTAGCTGGTGTGGTGGCGCATGCCTGTAGTCCCAGCTACTTCGGAGGCTGAGGCGACAGAATCGCTTGAATGCGGGAGGTGGAGGTTACAAGGTTGCAGTGGGCAGAGATCGCGCCACTGCACTCCAGCCTGGGCGACAGAGGAGACTCCATCTCAAAAACAAAACAAAACAAAAACCTCACTTGGAATGCAATCTAGAAAATGCTGCTTTAGCGTCCTCCCCAGGAAACAAAGCAAGTAGATCCCAAATAGAAGTTGGAGCTGGGCTCCCACTGGGCTTCTTTCTTCCCTACTGTCTTCCTTGGTATTAAGAGAAAAATTGCCCTGAGAATCTCCGAGGGCACAGAAATGTGTCAGACTACAATTCATTTTCGCGAAGGCATGAAGGAATCTTAGACTACGAGCTAAATACAGCTAAACAAAGTTATGGAAATATTCTTATTTAACAAGCTAGCCAGAGATTTACAGTATTTAAAAGTTTCTGCTACCCTTCCTTTGATTTAAAATTCACCTACGTATTTTGTATGCCAGGATTTTGTGGCACCAATGAATTTATTTCCTATATTGTATTCATATTAGAAGGAAAATAGCCTTCAAATTGTAAAGCAAAAACTAGGAAATAACCCAGCTACGCAGGAAAATGTCAAGAACCTAACCCAAATTTCATTTTTTCATCCACGCCTCTGGCAGCCACGTTTTAACAATTTCCAGAGAGAGGACTTACTTAGGAGGTAGATCCCTCCAAAACATGCTTTTCTATACTTAGCCAAGCACTGGGAAATCTAAGCGATAAGCATGAGTCAGAACGTGGGTGCCCTATCCAGAATCCGCAGTGTGTACATTTGAACAAGTTGTTATGCCAGCTTAAATTTCCTCTCATGCTAAAGGCAGAGCCTAACACTGCCCATCTCCTGGATGCAGTATTATTAAGCCAGCCTCCGAACACAGTTCCGTATCCACAAACAGACTTTAAAACCAGCATATAAAACGGAAATGGCGGGTAGGGGGTGGCCGTTCAGGGTAGGTGCTTAACTTGCTAATCATGGGCGCAGAAATATTTAAAACGGAGATAGTACAGAGGTGCAAAGTCAGAAACAGTATCAAGACCCTCATGCCCCCCTGTGACCTGCTCTCTGGGACTTTCACAAAAAGGGGGCTGAGAAGAGCCCCCCCGCCACCCCCTCCCGGAGACCCTGAGAGCACGGCGACAGACACCATCTGCACAACCTATCGCGCAAAGGGCGGACCCACGGGAACTCCTCTCCGTGGACTCCTCTCCTGCCCCCGGTCGCAAAGGGCGACCGGGGACTCTTCTCCTGCCCTCGTTTCTGGGCGCCCCAAACCTCTGGCCACAGCTGGGGTTCCCAGGGGCCCCCCTCCCGCCTCGACGCCTTGGGCTGGCGGGCTGCTGGGAGGACTCCTGCCGTGCGACCCCGGCGCCCCTCGCGCGTTTTGTCTGGGCCAGGCCGCGCAGACGTGCTCCCTACTTCTTACCGCGCTGGACCGCCAGGGCCGCGCCC
The DNA here is from genome assembly GCF_000001405.40 of Homo sapiens. Classification (NCBI taxonomy): domain Eukaryota; kingdom Metazoa; phylum Chordata; class Mammalia; order Primates; family Hominidae; genus Homo; species Homo sapiens. The sequence goes on from NC_000003.12 coordinate 169,812,436, forward strand.
GGAGTACTGGCCTGAGTGGAGGCCCAAGCCGGGGACCTGGCCGGCGCACGGGCGGCCTCCCGGGAGCTCCCCATGCTCCTCTCACCCACTGGCCGCGGCGGCTGCGCTGCCATGGCGACCGCGCGCGCACTTACAGTCCGCCTGCAGCTGTGAGGCGGCTACACGAGCCTCGGCGCCAGCCTGCTTCGAGTCCCGCTGGCTGTGCCTGCCCGGGCCCTGAGGCCTCACTGCTAAGGCAGTGACCGCCTACTCTGTGGAGGTCCTTTGTCACCCTGCCCTGGTTAAAGGCAGCCTGAGGGAGGGCGTCCTGGCTCCTTTGCAGGGAGGAGTTCCCGAGGTTTGAGGGGCTCCGCTGCTGAGCTAGGGCTGGGGCTACAAAGAAGATTATGACAAAGCCCGCTCCTACAAAGTGTGCACCGGCCTGCCGGGCCAGCGAAGAAGCAGAGTAGCATCAGCACATGATAAAGGCGTTGGGCTTTGGGAGCATAAAGGGTTTTGTGCTCCCAAAGGGCGGGGCCACCAGGGAGGGCTTCCTGAAGGAGGTGACATCTGGATGGTCCGAAGGAGGCTGCCAGAGGACAGAATGCTTGGTGCGTTCTGGGCATGCGCAGGTACTTGAATGTACTCAGATCAGTACAGACAGCGGGGAGGCGGGCAGGGCCAGATCCACATGTGTTACTAAAAGGCCAGGGGTTCCGTCTAGATCCAGCTGCTCCTGGCACAGAATGCCAATCACTGAAACAATGAGAATTGCCAGGGAGGAAGGCTTTAATCTGGTGCTGCAGCCGAGGAGATCAGTCTCAAATCTGTCTCCCCAACCAACTAGAATCAAGGGTTTACATAGCAAGAAAGAAATGTGACTACTTGCAGGAAATCAGGAATTAGGGAGGGGTAAGGAAGAGGAGTTGGTCAACAGGAATCAGGTGGTCGTTTAGGGAATCATGGTGGGTGAGGGATCTGGTGTCTCATTGTCCAGATGTGACGATCTGGTAAGTTTCATTTCCTTGATACTGAAATGGTAATAGTTTCCTTATCCCCCTTGCAGGGCATGCGATGGTGAGGCAGGAAAATAGGGTCTGGAGGTAGGGAACATAAGGCCGATTCGCACTTCGGCTATAACAGGAAATATCCTCTCCATAGGGTGTACACCATAAACGACTTTGTAACCTTACTTCATCCTCTTCATTTACACAGGGCGTACTCTAAGTAACCAATGGAATCCTCTAAGGGATATTTAAACTCCCAAAAAATTTGTAACGGGGTCTTTGAGCCCCTGTGCTCGGCCCACTCCCACACTGTGGAGTATACTTTCATTTTCAGTAAATCCCTTCATTCCTTCCTTGCTTTGTGCGTTTTGTCCAATTCTTTGTTCAAGACGCCAAGAACCTGGACACCTTCTACCGGTAACAATGGGGGTGTGGCTTGCTTCTTTGGTGCTCCGCTGCTCAAACCTCTAGGGGGAGCATGCAGACGGGCAGGTTGTGGGGCACGTGGGCTCCGAACTCACCGCAGCGTCTAGGGGTGAATGCTTACAGCTGCTGAAGCAAAGCCCCAGTAGGCGTGTGTTACAGGGTGCTCTTTCAGTTTTGCTGTGTATAGGCGGCTTGCGTCAATCAGCTCAGTTAGACCCTCTGTCTTACCGCAAGGACAGAGGGCTTTCTGTTTCCTGGGGTTCTGGCCTTGGTGTACCGGAAAAATCGGATCACACAGTGGGCTTGGAGAATGAGTGCAAGGTTTTATTGATTGGTGGAAGTGGCTCTCAACAGATGGATGGGGAGCCAGAAAGGGAATGGAGTGGAAAGGTGGTTTTCCCCTGGAGTCCGGCCGCTCAGCAGCCAGACTCTCCACTGACTGCCCTGGCCAAATTCCCCTCGGTCTACACATCGTGCTGCTTGTCGGTGACCTGGCAGCGTCCGCTGGTGCCTGTCGGTGTGCTCTTCTGCTCCTCTGTTCCTCTCAATGTCCAGCCACCTGTGTGCTCCTCCGCCGGTGTGTTCCTCTCAACATCCAGCCGCTTGTGTCTGTGCCTACTAGGGTCTTGGGGTGTTTGTTTGTTTGTTTGTTTTTTGAGACAGAGTCTCGCTCTGTGGTCCAGGCTGAAGTGCAGTGGCCTGATCTTGGCTCACTGCAACCTCTGCCTCCGAGCTTCAAGCAATTCTCCCACCTCAGCCTCCAGAATAGCCGGGATTACAGGCGCCCCCCACTACGCCCAGCTAATTTTGTATTTTTAGTAGAGACAGGGTTTCACCATGTTGGCCAGGCTGGTCTCAAACTCCTGACCTCAAGTGATCTACCTGCCTCTGCCGCCCAAAGTGCTGGGATTACAGGCGTGAGGCACTATGCCTGGCCCTTTAATCCATTTTGATTTGATTTTTGTATGTGGCAAGAGATAGGGGTGTAGTTTCATTCTTCTGCATATGGATATCCAGTTTTCCCAGAACCGTTATTGAAGAAACTATCTTTTCCCCAATATATGTTACTGATACCTTTGTCAAAAACGAGTTCACTGTAGATGATGGATTTATATCTGGGTTCTCTATTCTGTTCCATTGGTCTATGTATCTATTTTTATGCCAGTACCATGCTAGTTTGGCTACTTTAGCTCTGCAATATAATTTTAATTTAGGTAATGTGATTCCTCCAGTTTTGTTCTTTTTGCTCAGGTTAGCTTTGGCTATGCTGGATCTTTTGTGGTTTCATACAAATTTTAGGATTATTTTTTCTATTTCTGTGAAGAAGGTCTTTGGTATTTTGATAGGAATTGTATATAATCTGTAAATTGCTTTGGATAAAATGGACATTTTAACAATAATTATTATTCTAATCCAAGAACATAAAATATCTTTCCTTTTTTTGTGTGTGTGTCCTCTTTAATTTCTTACTTCAATGTTTTATAGTTTTCATTGTAGAGATCTTTTACTTCTTTGGTTGAGTTTGTTCTTAGGTATTTTATTTTATTTGTAGCTACTGTAAATGGGATTATTTTCTTACTTTTTCTGATTGTTTGCTGTTGGTATATAAAAATGCTACTGAGTTTTATATGTTGATTTTGTATCCTACAACTTTATTGAATTTGTTTATCCATTCTAATAATTTTTTTTGGTGGAGTCTTAAGGATTTTCCAAATATAAGATTATATCATCTGCAAACAAGGATAATTTGGGTTCTTCTTTTCCAGTTTGGATGCTCTTTATATCTTTCTCTTCTCTAATTGCTCTAGCTAAGACTTCCAGTGCTACACTGAATAATAGTGGTTAAAGTGGGCATCCTTATATTGTTCCAGATCTTAGAGAAAAGGTTTTCAGTATTTCCTATTCAGTATGATACTACCTACGGGCCTGTCAAATATGGTTTTTATCGTGTTGAGGTATCTTCCATCTACTCCCAGTTTATTGAGGGCTTTTATCATGAAGTGATGTTGAATTTTATCACATGCTTTTTCAGCATCAATTAAAATGATCATATGGTTTTTGTCCTTCATTCTGTTGATAGGTTGTATCACATTGATTGATTTGTGTATGTTGAGCCATCCTTGCATTCCTAAGATGAATGCCACTTGGTCATGATGAATGATTTTTTTAATGTGTTGTTGAATTCAGTTTGCTAGCATTTTCGTTGAGGATCTTCGCTGAGAAGATCCATCAGGGACATTGCCCTACAGTTTTCTGTTTTTTGGTTTGCTTGTTTGTTTGTTTTGGTGTGTCTTTGGTTTTGGTGTCAGGGTAATACTGGCCTCATAGAACGAATTTGGAAGTAGTTTTTCCTCCTCTATTTTTCAGAACAGCTTGAGTAGGATTGGTATTAGTTCTTCTTTAAATGTTTGATAAAAATCAGCATTGAAGCCATTGGGTCCCAGGTTTTTCTTTGCTAGGAGACTTTTTATTATGACTTTGATCTTTTTACTTGCTATTGGTCTATTGAGGTTTCAGATTTCTTCATGGTTCAATCTTGGTAAATGGTATATATCTAGGAATTTATCCATTTCTTCTAGGTTTCCCAATGTATTAACATATAGTTGATCCTTGGAATTTCTACTGTATCAGTTGTAATATCTCCTTTTTCATCTCTGATTTTATTTATTGGATCTTCTCTCTTTTTCTCTTAATCTGGCTAAAAGTTTATTGATTTTATTCATCTTTTCAAAAAACCCAACTTTTCATTTTATTAATTTTTTTGCATTGTTCTTTATTTTAATTTCATTTATTTCTGCTCTGATTTTTGTGATTTCTTTTCTTCTACTTTTTTTTTTTTTTTTGACAGAGTTTTGCTCTGTTGCCCAGGATGGAGTACAGTGGCATGATCTCAGCTCACTGCAACCTCTGCCTCCTGGGTTCAAGTGATTCTTTTGCCTCAGCCTCCTGAGTAGCTGGGATTACAGGCACACACCACAATGCTTGGCTAATTTTTATATTTTTAGTAGAGACAGGGTTTCACCATGTTGGCCAAGCTGGTCTTGAACTCCCAACCTCAGGTGATCCACTTGCCTCAGCCTCCCAAAGTGCTGGGATTACAGGCGTGAGCTATCACTCCCAGCCTTCTACTAACTTTGAGTTTGGTTTTTTACTTTTCTAGTTCTTTAAGATGCATCATTACATTGTTTATTTGAAGTTTTCTGCTTTTTTGATGTAGGCACTTATTGCTATAAACATGCCTGTTAGTACTGCTTTCACTGTATCCCATAGGTTTTGTTATGTTGTGTTTCCATTTTAATTTGTTTCAATAAATTTTTTAATTTTCTTAATTTTTTCATTGACCCACTGGTCATTCAGGAGCATGTTGTTTAATTTCCACGTGTTTGTACAATTCCCAAATTTCCTCTTGTTATTGCTTTCTAGTTTTATTCCATTGTGCTCAGAGAAGATACTTAATATGATTTTGATATTTTTGAAAATTTTTAAGACTTGTTTTGTGACCTAAAATATGTCTATCCTTGAGAAGATCCATGTGCTGAGGAAAAGAATGTGTATTCTGCAGCTGTTGGATGAAATGTTCTGTAAATATCTAGGTACATTTGGTCTATAGTGCAGATTAAGTCCAATGCTGCTTTGTTGGTTTTCTGTCTTGATCTCTCCAATGCTGAAAGTATCCAATGCTGAAATCAACAGCCATTATTGTACTGGAGTCTATTTCTTTCTTTATCTCTAGTAATATTTGCTTTACATAACTAGGTGATCCAGTGTTGGGTGCATGTATATTTATGATCGTTATATCCTCTTGCTGAATGAACCCCTTTATCATTATATAATGACCTTTTTTGTCTTTTTTTATAGCTTTTGTCTCGAAATCTATTTTGTCTGATATATGTATAGCTACTCCTGCTCTTTTTTGTTTTCCATTTGCATAGAATATCTTTTCCCATTCCTTTATTTTCAGCTTATGTGTGTCTTTATAGGTGAAATGTATTTCTTGTGGGCCACAGATCGATCATTGGGTCTTGTTTTTTAAAATCCATTTAGCACCTCAAGAGCAATTCCTCAGAGCCCAGCACAGCATCAAGATTTGCCCAGGAATTGCAGTCCTTGTGACCTAGACTGCCTTTCAAGTTTATTTAGAACCCCCAGAGCACTTTATCCCACAGTGGTGGGGCTAGCCAGAACTCACGTTCCACCCACTGGCATGGACAATTCCCCTCTGGCTAGGGCTGGTCTAAATGCTCCCTCCATGAGCACCACCTGAATTCTACCCGATGTTGCTTTCCACTGTGACAGGCAGCACTGAAGTCCATTCCAAAGCCCCACAGTCACTTTCCTCTCCCTCCCCGAAGCACACTTATTCTCTCTCTGTGCCACATGGCTGCTCTGGGGGTTGGAGGAGGGATGGTTCTGACTATCCAGGACTGTCTTTCCTACCTTCTTCAGTGCCTCTTTCTTTGCTATGATGTTAAAACCAGGGACTGTGATTGCAAACCTGATCTTTCGTTCTTATGAAGATGATTTCTTGTGTGAATAGTTGTTCAATTTGGTGTTCCTGTTGGAGGGGATGATTGCTAGAGGGTTCTATTCAGCCATCTTGCTCTGCCTCCAGGAATTTTTTTTTTAACAAGATGTATTTGTACAGAATTCTCTCAGCTATGACTCCCTGTTGAAGAATTTTCTTTCTGGTATAGGGAAGGCATGTTTCACATGGAAGGTTTTATTTCCTGTTTTCAAGGCGAGAAAGGGAAGATTAGAATACACTTATTGCATCTGCTATTTTTCAAGTGTCTTTAGCTTAAAGTAATCCTCATACCAAAGTGGCATATTTTGGAGTGGCATATTCTGCCACTCTTTATTACCATTACATGAATATCCAGTCTGAAGTCAATTAAGGTTACTTTTAGTTTGTTTGTGATTCACCAGTTTTTAGAAGGAGAAGTTCTGCTGAGTGAAGTTTTAAGCAAAATCTTGAAATTCTTTTAACTAGAAATGGGTTTTTATGCTAACAGAGAGAGTCACACACCATATTAACCTCAGGAACCTAGTCTTACCTATCTAGTTTGTGCATAGACAGACTTGGAAACAAAAGCATCAACACTCACTGTAAATTTGAGAGGGCTGATTAGTTTCTTAAATGATTTTCTCAGGGGTTAGAGTTACACAAAGAAAGCTAATTGTTAAACTATCCAAATCTTGGCTCCTTCAAATGAAGATGTAACAATTATTTAATTTAAAAATCACCCGACCATAATATTGGATTGTAATAATAAGTAAATTTGATCACATTTGTGTAGCAATCCCTAGAGAAAAAATGGCCAATAAAGACCAAATCTTCCCCTTTCTCAATTACTGTGGCAGAATTACTGGCAAAGCTATTGCAAATCTGGGTTTTACAATCTCCTTTTATTAAATCCACAAATGAACGTGAAATATGGGTGTATATATATAGCTTTCAGAGGGCCGTCAAATTGATGGGGTATATGATTAAGGTGAGATAACATACACACACAATCAGATATTCTAAGCAGGTCTTATTATGGAGAAAGATGAATGCTAAGAGAAATAAGTTATTTCATGTGTCTGGAAGCCCAGACACCCTCATATTAATTCTAATCCACATAAATTTCTCCCAGTTGACTTTGTTGTAATGCTGCACAATAAAATCAAGTCTAAAATTTCACACCCGAGAAGAATGATTTTAATAAGTGCCAGGTTTCCTGTAAACGAGTGATGTTAAAAATCTAGGTGAGGTTGTGTCCAGTTCTCTGCTCTTACTCCCACTTCCTACCATGTTCTGAGAAGAGCCCTTTTAGTTATATAATTTCTTTATCTGGGAAACAGGGCAAATAATGATGCCTCCTGCATAGGATTATTGTGAAGATTAATTAGGTTACTTTAAGTAAAGCCTGGAGTACATAATCAGTGTTCTTGGTGTTCCCTATTTTTATTTGTATTATCACCTCAGTCTACATACTGTGGAGAATTTTCAGAAATTTGCAAGTAGGAAACTGGAGATTTTATCTTACAGGACTGAACAGTATTAGATAAATTTAATCTGCCTGATGACTAAGTGACAAAAATGCTGGAGACAGCTAGTTTTAAACAAAATCAGTGTTAAATCTTTCCTTTTCTTTAAATAACATTGTCTCAGAGCTGGTTTTGAGTCCAGGCATAAAGCAACAAGCACCTGAAGCACATAGTGTTGTGTTTTGAGGAATAGCAGTATTATGTATGGGGCTAGAAATGTATCCCCTTCATCTAGGCACTGGGCCTCTGTGATGGATGAGAGGCCCAGATACTCCAGCAGGACTGCCTTCATTCTAAAAAGAAGTTCAAAGACGCTACCGCCAACCTTGCCACTATCATGTCATGTTGTTCTCTGCCTTTCCCCATAGACTCTGTGTGTGTGTGTGTGTGTGTGTGTGTGTGTGTGTGTGTGTGTACTAAAGACTTACTCTTCTGAAATACAATATTCACATCTTGCATTTTATAAGATTTATAAGCCTAGTAGTGTAAGTCTGCTGATTTTGTTTTCACTAAAGATTATCTTTAGCTCCTTTGCATTTTCATATAAATTTTAGAATCAGCTTGTCAACTTCTACCAAAAAAGAAAAAAAAAAGTTTGCTAAAATTTTGACTAACATTGCATAAAAACTATAGATCCAATTAGGGGAATATTGACATCTTTTTTTTTTTTTTTTTTTGAGACGGAGTCTCGCTCTGTCGCCCAGGCTGGAGTGCAGTGGCGCGATCTCGGCTTACTGCAAGCTCCGCCCCCCGGGTTCACGACATCTTAGCATTACTGAGAATTCTAATCCATGGACATGATTTGTCCCTCCATTTATCAGAGACTTTAATTTGTTTCTGGGTTGGGCTTTAGTTCATTCAATTAACCGCAGTTCCAAATGTCTCACTTAGACAGAGTTAAGCTCCTTCCAGCCAGGCTTCGGTACTTAAGACCATGAAACTTCAGGACCTGTCTCTGTTCTTTAGTCCAGCCTGCAATTTTCCCTGTGGCCGTTTAACCAGCCAAAGACTAATGGGAAAAACTAGTTAGTGGGGAGAACTGACTTTGCATTTGGGGCTACTCCAGATTCTAATCCACTATGCCAGCCCACACATGACTGTTAAAAGTTTGGCAGGTTTATTCTTCTCCCAGAAGTTCCTTTGCCTGTGCCTATTAAAGGGTTGTTTCTCTGCCTGACAGTCCTCAAACTTGCAAATGCCATCAGGCATGAGAGGGTCTACTCACGGGTCTCTAGTTATTTAGAAAAGGTTGGTGCATCTCTAGAATATAGTGTTTTTGTTGTTGTTTTTGTTTTTGTTTTAGCTTTCTTTGTATCTTCGACTCTCTGGTGGTTTTAAGGAAAAATACTGTATTTTAAAAGATGAGGTTTTTCCCTAGTGTTTTCTCAGTGTTATGGTAAGAGCAAGGATCTTTTGCAACCTTCTACATCCTACTGGAAACATTCAGAATAGGCATTTTTTTTTAACTGAAATTAGGCTGGGCACGGCGGCTCATGCCTGTAATTCCAGCATTTTGGGAGGCCAAGGCGGGTGGACCTGAGGTCGGGAGTTTGAGACCAGCCTGGCCAACATGGTGAAACCCCGTCTCTACTAAAATTACAAAAAAATTTAGCTGGGCATGGTGGTGGGTGCCTGTAATCCCAGCTACTCGGGAGGCTGAAGCAGGAGAATCGAATCACTTGAGCCCAGGAGGCGGAGGTTGTAGTAAGCCGAGATCACACCATTGCACTCCAGCCTGGGCAACAAAAGCGAAACTCCGTCTCAAAAATAAATAAATAAATAAATAAAACTGAAGTTAATCTCTTTTTTTTTTTCATGTGAGTCTACGTGTTAGGGGAAGGAGTCTACACTTTAATTCTTCTAACATGAAATGCAAAAACCTAAATTTTATGTTCTGTCATAATTTCAAGCACTAAGTTTAATCAACTAGGTTTTAATTTTATTTTTCTTAAGGATAGCAAGTCTGGTGGCAGGTAAATTCTATTTTTTTTCATCCTTTTCACAATATTTCAGATTTTGAATATTTGAGCTTTTCTTCACAATAATGTCAAAAGACATAAAATCAGTAGAACATTCACCTAAAATTCATCAGAGAAATGATCCACAGCACGTCAATGATAGAACATTTTTCATTGATGCCTCTAATCAGAGCTTGACTGCCATTCCTTTGGAGATCTTCACATTCACAGAATTAGAAGAAGTGCATTTGGAGAATAACCAGATTGAAGAAATTCCCCAGGAGATTCAGCGTTTAAAGAACATCAGGGTCCTCTACCTGGATAAGAACAACCTGAGGAGCCTGTGCCCGGCGCTGGGGCTGCTGAGCAGCCTGGAGAGCCTGGACCTGAGCTACAACCCCATCTTCTCCTCCTCCCTTGTCGTTGTCAGCTTCCTCCACGCCCTGCGCGAGCTCCGGCTCTACCAGACCGACCTGAAGGAAATTCCCGTCGTCATCTTTAAAAACCTCCACCATCTCGAGCTGCTCGGACTGACCGGAAACCACCTGAAATGTCTGCCCAAGGAAATAGTGAACCAGACCAAGCTGAGGGAGATCTACCTGAAGCGAAACCAGTTTGAAGTTTTCCCCCAGGAGCTCTGTGTTCTCTACACCCTGGAAATCATTGACCTGGACGAGAACAAAATAGGTGCCATCCCAGAAGAGATCGGACACCTGACGGGGCTGCAGAAGTTCTATATGGCTTCTAACAACCTTCCCGTTCTGCCCGCGTCCTTGTGCCAGTGTAGCCAACTGTCGGTGCTCGATTTATCCCACAACCTCCTCCACTCCATCCCGAAGAGCTTCGCCGAGCTCAGGAAGATGACGGAAATCGGGCTGAGCGGGAACCGCCTGGAGAAGGTGCCACGCCTCATTTGCAGGTGGACCTCGCTGCACCTGCTCTACCTGGGAAACACCGGCCTGCACAGGCTGCGGGGCTCCTTCAGGTGCCTGGTCAACTTGCGCTTCCTGGACCTAAGCCAGAACCATCTGCACCACTGCCCGCTGCAGATCTGTGCACTGAAGAACCTTGAAGTCCTGGGACTGGATGACAATAAAATAGGACAGGTACGGATTCCTTTTCTGGCTGTCACTATGCTCTCATCCAGGGTCCTTCCTGCCCTAAGTTGGTTCTGTATCTAAACAGCAAATTTGAACTGACTTTATGGGCGAAAATCCAAGATTACTAAATATCCAACAAGGTGATACTTTGTATTACTCTCTTTTTCCCTAACAGCAGCAGTAATCATAATAGTAGCTAATGTTTATTTAGAGGGTGTATGTGCCAGTCACTGAGCTAAGTGTTTACATGGATCATCTCATTTACCTCACAACGACTGTGTCCTCAATGGTATATGAAGGAAGTGAGGGGCAGGGAGCTTAACTAACATATCCAAGGTTACACAGCCTGTAAGTGCTGCAGCCGCGATTCCAGCCCACAGCTGCCAGGCTCCAGGGTCTACATTCTTTTTTTTTTTTTTTTCTCTTCCCCGAGACGGAGTCTAGCTCTATTGCACAGGCTGGAGTGCAGTGGTGTGATCTCGGCTCACTGCAACGTCCACCTCCCGGGTTCAAGCGGTTCTCCTGCCTCAGCCTTTCGAATAGCTGGGATTACAGGCACCTGCCATCATGCCCAGCTAATTTTTGTATTTTTAGTAGAGACGGGGTTTCACGGTGTTGTCCAGGCTGGTCTCGAACTCCTGACCTTGTGTTCCGCCCGCCTCGGCCTCCCAAAGTGCTGGGATTACAAGCGTGAGCCACCGCGCACGGCCCAGGGTCTATATTCTTAACAAAGACAATCTCCTGACAGAGTTTCCGTTAACAGCAGATGTTTCTAATACACAACAGCCTTAGAAGCCTAAAGTTCCATCCATAGGAAACTGCAAAACCAGACTTGTCCCAACAGAAACTGTCCCGTGTGTGCAGGGTGGCATATTCAAAAATGGTCATTTAGCATTGTTGATAATCATGAAATTATGGGAGACAATCTAAATGTCAGTAGGGGAGTGGGCAAATAAACTTCAATATATTCATAAAACGAAGTTATATAGTAATTTAAGTGAACTGGTACTGTATTGCCAATATGGATAGATCTCAGTATTGTGATGTTTATTGAAAAGAAAACCTAAGGTTCCGCATCAAACTGCAGAACCTTATGATACCATTTATAAATTTTGAAATCACACAAAACTATATATATACACACATATATGTATATACATACACACATATACACACAACACATATTTTATGGATATTTTTATATATAATGAAAATATAAAATATTGACTGGAAGAAAACTAAATTCATGAAGGTGGCTGCCTCTGGGAAGAGAGAAGGAAGTCAACAAAATAGGGAAGCAGCTGGATGCAGTGGCTCACTCCTCTAATCCCAGCAGTTTAGGGGGCCAAGGAGGGAGGATCACTAGAGGCCAGAAGTTCAAGACCATGCTGGGCAATGTAGGAATGTGTCTTTAAAAACCAAGAAAGCAAATGGGGAAGAGATCATAAGGGGACTGAACTTAATTGCAGTATTTCATTTTGTTTATTAAAAGATTTGGGCAGTTGGGCACGCGTGGGTTTATGTTTCTTTATTATTTTATAATATTCTATTTATTTCAATTTTAATTTTATTTATTTATCTATTTATTTTTGAGATGGAGTCTCACTCACTCTGTCACCCAGGCTGGAGTGCAGTGGTGCTATCTTGGCTCACTGCAACCTCTGCCTCCTGGGTTCAAGCGATTCTCCTGCCTCAGCCTCCCAAGTAGTTGGGACTACAGGTGTGCGCCATCACACCCGGCTAATTTTTGTATTTTTAATAGAGACGGGGTTTCACCATGTTGGCCAGGCTGGTCTCAAACTCCTGGCTTCAAGTGATCCACCCGTTTTGGCCTCACAAAGTGCTGGGATTACAGGTGTAAGCCACCATGGCTGGCCTATAATATTTGATTTAAAAAGAAAAAAATAGCTGTTAAGAGCAAAAGACAACTGTAGAGGGAGTAAAAAGGGGAATTTGGAAATCAACAACTATAATCAAATAATAGGTCTGCTTTACCTGGCCATGGACACCAGTCTCATGTGTTCCCTATAAATTATAAAAGTCCTGGGCCTTACGGATTTATTTTTAAAAATCTTTTTTTTTTTTTTTTTGAGATGAGCTCTCGCTCTGTTGCCCAGGCTGGAGTACAATGGCGCCATCTCAGCTCACTGCAACCTCCACCTCCCAGGTTCAAGCGATTCTCCTTCCTCAGCCTCCCGAGTAGCTGGGACTATAGGTGCCTGCCACCACGCCCGGCTAATTTATGTATTTTTAGTAGAGGCAGGGTTTCACCATATTGGCCAGGCTGGTCTCAAACTCCTGACCTCATGATCTGCCCACCTCAGCCTCCCAAAGTGCTGGGATTACAGGCGTGAGCCACTGTGCCCGGCTGCTAAAAAAATCTTTTATTTGATTTTTTATTTCTAGAACTTTTTTCCCCAAATTGCTATGGGGTTTTAAAGCTGCCTTTCAGGAAGTAAACATTTTGATGGTAACTTGTAGATTTAGGTCGAGATTCTAGGACTTAATCTCCACTGATGTAGCAACTCACCTTGGAGGATTTTTGAGGTTCCGTGAGAGCCCGGCCCTGAACTATTCCACTGCTGATGTAAGAAATTCCTTTTAGTGGACTAAGTCAGTCATTCTGCAGTTGGAGTGAAAGACTTAAAATATAAAGTACATGTGGGAGGGATAACACATTATACTGAGCCATGAATAATACCTAATCCTTTTCTGAGAGAAATTTTAAGAAATCAAAGGAGCAAATCACACACAGACTGCTTGTTAACAAAAATAAGCTTCATCCAATACCAAGTTTTAGCACAAGTCAAACTGCACTGAAATGTAGACATGTTAAATATTATTGTATTGAACATGACAATCTCTGTGTACCAGTGCTTTTTCCTCTTCAGTTATTCTGATGGGTTTTGTGTGTGTGTGTGCATTTGTCCTCCCTTCTCAATTTCCTCTTATGCTAATACCACCTTCCAATGCATTTCTCTCCTCAATGAAACATGGCCTTTAAGCCAGCTCATTATCTCTCCCTCCCCAAAGACTCAACTCATGGGTTACTAGCTCTTAAAGCCTAACCAGTAGCTTCTACTTGCCTGTGTGCATGCAAAAAATATCTGATTTTCAATGTGTACCTAGATGGATTTTATTTGTAGAGTATACTTCTATTAAAGGAGAAAAGCAGGCCACGTGCGGTGACTCACGCCTGTAATCACAACACTTTGGGAGGATGAGGCGAGTGGATCAACTGAGGTCAGGAGTTTGAGACCAGCCTGGCCAACGTGGCGAAACCCCATCTCTACTAAAAATACAAAAATTAGCCGGGCATGGTAGTGGGCACCTGTAATCCCAGCTACTCGGGAGGTTGAGGCAGGAGAATCGCTTGAACCCAGGAGGCAGAGGTTGCAATGAGCCAAGATTGTACCATTGCCGTCCAGCCGAGGCAAGAAGAGTGAAACTCCGCCTCAAAAAAAAAAAAAGAAAAAGAAAAAGGAAAAAACCAAAACAATGTACCAGATCCCAAAATGGCTATATGTCAGTTACAGTGTCATCAGTAATTGTCCTCATCTAATGCTCTACAGATTTTCTATACATCTAGATTTCTTCTCATTATACTTTACTATGACTATGATGAAACTAACTACTGGATCTTAAATACTCCTAAAAAAAATTTTTGAACATTCAATGTGCTTTGAAAAAGAAAAGCTAAGCTTTTATGAGTTAAGTGAACAGCAATAAGAATGAAATTTCTAGGTTATAATAAAATGGTTAGATTGAAAAATCTTTTTTCATTGTTTTGGACTGCACAGAATGCAGGCATTTTGTATTGAAGACATCTAAGTGCTTGATGAAGAATTTTGAAATAGCCAAAGAGGAAAGCTTAAACATCAGTTTCTCCAAAGATTGACTTCATCTAATTAAAATAAATAGGTAAATAAATAAAACTGGAAAACTGTTACAGCATTTTTAGGAAAATGAGTCCTTACTCTACACAAAAAAGAGAAAAATGCATTATGGAAGATTCCAAGTATGTGAAACTTTTACAGATAGGTTGTCCTCAGTGAACTTTCTTTTTCTCCAACTGTAAGTGACCCATTCACCAATTACCTGTCTATTCCACCCATCCATAGAGAGGTGGGGGTGGGAGTGGCTCAGCTGAGCTCTAGCCAGAATGAAAGTAGGGTGGCTGACTAGGGAATGGATGGGAAGAATGCCCATGGGCTCAAGCAGGGAACTGTGGGGAAGGATTTCCCAGTTAGGAATTAAGCCAGATAAAGGAACATATGAGTTAAGGAGCTGTTGAGCTATATAGCTGGGATTTTTTTCTACGAGAAAATAAGGCATCTCTGTAACACAGTCAATAGGGTGATTGTCACATATTTTAAGAATGAGATTTTTTCGCCGGGTGCGGTGGCTCATGCCTGTAATCTCAGCACTTTGGGAGGCCTAGGCGGGCGGACCACGAGGTCAGGAGATCGAGACCATCCTGGCTGACATGGTGAAACCCCGTCTCTACTAAAAATACAAAAAATTAGCCGGGCGTGGTGGTGGGCGCCTGTAGTCCCAGCTACTCGGGAGGCTGAGGCAGGAGAATGGCGTGAACCCGGGAAGCGGAGCTTGCAGTGAGCCGAGATCGCGCCACTGCACTCCAGCCTGGGCGGCAGAGCGAGACTCCGTCTCAAAAAAAAAAAAAAAAAAAAAAAAGAGATTTTTTTCCCATGTGGTCTCCCATGGTCCAGAAAGAAACCGATAGACGGACATAATGGTGAAGCTGATTTTGGCTGTACTAAAGTAGGAAATCTGATGATTAGAAGTAGCCATAGAAGATAATGAGCTTTTCTTCACAGGAGGTGGTGTTTAGATAAAACTGGATGGCTCGCTATAAAAAGTATGCAAGCACTGTATTAGAAGGTTGAAATAGAGAACCTTCTTAAGGCGTTCCAGCCCTGAAAGTGTGGCACTCTGTGAAATGCCGACCCAGTTCCCACACAGGTTACACAAGCCTGGGTATTCACTGAAAAGCAGAACATGACACGATAGGATCATAATGGAGTTCACTGAACACTGATTAGAAATGGTGTGAATATATGTTTGCCTCCAACTGAGATTTCAACTGAAGTTTCAAAATTATTAAAGCCTTTTAGGATGAAGAGTCATATCACTAAATTTATTAGTTCCAATAACTGAATTTATAATGAATATTATTATTGCAATATTACACATAACTTTAGTATTTTTCTTTCTATAGTGTCAAACAGTTGCCACACTACAGTCCATAAATGGCAAGAACATAGGTTAAAAATTGCTCCAATTTTTTTTTTTTTGAGACAGATTCTCGCTCTGTCGCCCAGGCTGGAGTGCAGTGGCACAATCTCGGCTCACTGCAACCTCTGCCTCCCACATTCCAGAGATTCCCCTGCCTCAGCCTCCCGAGTAGCTGGGATTATAGGCACCCGCTACCACACCCAGCTAATTTTTATATTTTTTAGTAGAGACAAGGTTTCGCCATGTTGGCCAGGCTGGTCTTGAACTCCTGACCTCAGGTGATCCACTGGCCTTGGCCTCCCAAAGTGCTGGGATTAAAGGCATAAACCACCGCGCCCAGCCACAAAAAATTGCTCCAGTTTAAAGTGGTGCATAAAAGTGAAATCAGAGACTTTAGATCTACAAGTATAAATACTGTAATGCAGATATGTGCACAAATTTTTCACTAGTAGGAGAGGCTAAGTTACTCCACTTGTTTAGCAGTCTGCCTCAAAACCAGAAGCCCAATTTATCTCTGCTGTTAAAAATAATCTTGACCTGAAACTTATCTTTTTGGAATACTTCTAGTTACCTTCAGAATTGGGCTCACTTTCAAAACTGAAGATACTTGGACTAACAGGAAATGAGTTCCTTTCCTTTCCGGAGGAAGTCCTTTCTTTAGCGTCTTTAGAGAAATTATACATTGGGCAAGACCAGGGATTCAAACTTACCTATGTGCCAGAACACATTAGGAAACTGCAGGTAAGCCTCCCCAAATGAGCAGGCTAAGAAGCACCTGTCACTGCCTCTTAAATTGGCTGAAACTGAGAAAATATGAGGTCTCCACAGGCTGGATGTAGAATCATCCATACTAGATTTCCAGCTTCAGACAAGCAATCATTTTTACATTTTGAGGTTTCCACTGTCCGTGAACAACTCTTCAACATTTCATTGTGATTGCTGTTGGATATGTCCTGCCATACTTCTTTCCACTGTGTGATTTGGTGTGTTTCATTTGCAGAAATTGAGTCATAACTCTTTCCATTTAATTTCCACTTTTTATAAGTAGCCCCCTGAAAACTGGACTATTTTGAAGTTAAAGAGTATCATACAAGTGACATGCTGGGAGCCTACATTTTGGTGCCCAGGATTTCCTGTAAGGGGAAGTGTGACCTCTCTCCCTGATTGGAAAAGGGAAATCATGTTGCACCAGCTTCCTGGATCTGCAGGGCTGTGAGGAATACTTGCAAAGCAACAGGATAACTTCATTCAAAGTAGCCATAGTAGGGTGTCTTCATATATTCATCCTTTAAAGAACTGTTTTTTTTTTTTCATGTTCCTGTTGCTGCACTTTTTTTTTTGACAGAGTTTCGCTCTTGTTGCCCAGGCTGGAGTGCAATGGCTCACTGCAACCTCCACCTCCCGGGTTCAAGCGATTCTCCTGCCTCAGCCTCCCAAATAGCTGGGATTATAGGCGCCCACCACCACACCTGGCTAATTTTGTATTTTTAGTAAAGACGGGGTTTTGCCATGTTGGCCAGGCTGGTCTCGAACTCCTGACCTCAGGTGATCCACCTGCCTCGGCCTCCCAAAGTGCCGGGATTATAGGCATAAACCACCGTGTCTGACCTGCTGCACTCTTAATGATGATAAAGTAGGCGTGGGCCACCACATAACCCCAGTCATGCAATGCCATGCACAGCATAGGTAGTTCTCACTATGACACAGGGTGTCTCTTCCTAATTCTCCATTCCTTTGCCCTGTGTTCATAGAACACCTTTCATCAGCTTTTCCTTTGTACCTGTCATGCCACAATCTTAGGGTGAAGTACAAACATTAGATTTTTGCCCAGTGAAGTTGAAAATAGTTATTTTGAATACATTCAAATCCATTCCCTGTGCATTTTGGCTACTTTCACTGAGGCAATATTGGGTTGATAGTTGAGGCAATTATCATTCTGTAGCAACTGCCACAGACAATTAGCTATTAAAAAAGGAGTTAATGATAAATGTAGTTAAATTATTCAAATTATTTTTCCATAAAGTTCTGGTGAAACAAATAAGCACTAGATGTCTGTAGTCTCTTTTCCCTGCATAAATGGAAACTAAGTCTAATGGATTTACTCAAAAATAATTTTGGGTCTTGATGATGGTCCTTTAGACATGCTTTTTCCCTTAACTCAATGCGTAATTTCCCCACTGAAAGTGAAAAAAAAAAAAAAAAAAAAAAAAAAAAAAAATGCATGAGCACCCACAGGTGATTCTGGTTATTATAATTAATTAATCAAGGTATATTATTATGGTACACTCATGTTATTTCAGAGTCTCAAAGAGCTATATATAGAGAACAATCATCTGGAGTACCTGCCCGTATCCTTGGGGTCAATGCCTAACCTAGAAGTTCTTGATTGCCGGCACAATTTGCTTAAGCAACTTCCAGATGCCATTTGCCAAGCACAAGGTGAGGAAACTTAGTAGATTCACAGCCTAGCAGAGTTTGTGGCCAGCATTTCCTATGGCAAATGGCTTCCTTGCTTTGCTAAAGACCTATCTCAGTGTTCAGAGAACTGAGTCTATCCCATTACTTCCTTGCAGGGCTCACTTAGCGACATGGGGGAGGCCAGGTGTCCTGATTAGTATAGCTAAGAGTCTTGCAAAGGCAGTTAAGTCATTTATTAAAATGGAAAGGTAAATAGCGACTGCTAAGAAAATTAGCATTTACCCATACATTTATTACACTACCAACAATAATTTACTGTACACTTACTACATGCCAGAATTTGGAGTTGGGATCCTGCAGTAAATTTCATCTAGGTCACGGAGTCACTTGAGTAAAAGAAAAAGTATTGGCCCAGAGTGGTGAAATTAGCAGGAGACTTTCTTGGAGCTACATAATTGACCTGGAAAACTATATATGATTCCTACTTAAATAGCCAAACATTTTCCACTACACTAAGCCATTCTTTGTCTGTACATTCATCCATCCACTTAATATGCTTTTGCTGAGCACCCACTGGGACCAGATTTTAAATGTTTCTTTTTTTTTTTCTGAATCCTAGGCTTATGCACATGTTTTCAAACTATGGCTATTCTTTTTTTTTTTTTTTTTTTTTTTTTTTTTTAAGACAGAGTCTCGCTCTGTCGCTCAGGCTGGAGTGCAGTGGCGTGATCTCGGCTCCCTGCAAACTCTGCCTCCCGGGTTCACGCTATTCTTCTGCCTCAGCCTCCTGAGTAGCTGGAACTACAGGCGCCCGCCACCACGCCCGGCTAATTTTTTTTTTTTTTTTTTTTTTTTTTTTTTTTTTTTTTTTTTTAGTAGAGACGGGGTTTCACTGTGTTAGCCAGGATGGTCTTGATCTCCTGACCTCGTGATCTGCCCACCTTGGCCTCCCAAAGTGCTGGAATTACAGGCGTGAGCCACCGTGCCTGGCCCAAACTATAGTTATTCTTTAATGAAAAAAGAATGGAGAGAGTGGAAGCTGATGCCTACTCATAAGGCATTCAAAAACTGGGGGCAAGGCCAGGCGCGGTGCTCACGCCTGTAATCTCATCACTTTGGGACGCCGAGGAGGGCAGATCACCTGAGGTTAGGAGTTCAAACCAGCCTGGCCAACATGGTGAAAACCCATCTCTACTAAAAATACAAAATTAGCTGAGTGTGATGGCACGTGCCTGTAATCCCAGCTACTTGGGAGGCTGAGGCAGGAGAATTGCTTGAATCCGGGAGGCAGAGGTTGCAGTGAGCTGAGATTGCACCACTGCACTCTAGCCTGTTAACAGGGCAAGACTCCGTTTTAATAAAAGTTAAAAAATTTAAAAAAAAAAAGAAAAAAAAAATGGAGACAAGGGGTTGTATGCAGTAATCCTTAGTAATGCTCCTGACCATAAATTTTTATCCTGTCCTTGGTCCCTGGAGGAGTGAAATATTCTCAAAATTTTTCAGTGTTTTCTATTTTTCTGTCTCTAATATTTATGGACACTGGCTTCAACAACTTTGAATTGTTATAAAGAAGTTGTAGGCCAGGCGCGGTGGCTCACGCCTGTAATTCCAGCACTTTGGGAGGCCAAGGCAGGCAGATCATGAGGTCAGGAGTTCGAAACCAGCCTAGCCAATACAGTGAAACCCCATCTCTACTAAAAATACAAAAATTAGCTGGGCTTGGTGGTGGGTGCCTGTAATCCCAGCTACTCAGGAGAATGAGGCAGGAGAATCACTTGAACCCGGGAGGCGGAGGCTGCACTGAACCGAGATGGCGCCACTGCACTCCAGCCTCGGTGACAGAGCTAGACTCTGTCTCAAAAAAAAAAAAAAAATAGCCAAGTGTGGTGGCGTGCACCTGAAATCCCAGCTACTTGGGAGGCTGAGGCACTTGAATCGCTTCAACCTGGGAGGCAGAGGTTGTAGTGAGCTCAGATCATGCCACTGTACTCCAGCCTGGGCAACAAAGTGAGACTCTGTCTCAAAAAAAAAAAAAAAAAAAAAAATCAATAGTCTGCTGACCTTAGGAACAGCAGGGTCTGAGAGTGATTTTTCCCAGTGGGCTGTCAGTTTCAGCTAAAAACTGTTGCTCTAAACAAACAAAACATTTGGAATATCTGGAGACTGAATTCTGTTCTCTTCATTTTGAGAAGGAGCAAACATAGAGCTAGAACTTTTATTAGATGGTAGAAAAAGTTTTGTCGGGTCTTGTGCATCCTTCCTCTCATTCCCTTTGCAAATGCAGAATTGGATCCCTCACCTATGTGGACAGGATTAGGTGACAAGTTAATATTGTTTCTTCTAAGATTGAACCACCATTACGAAAAAATCTTTTCAGCTTTGAAAGAATTACGGCTGGAGGACAACTTGCTCACCCATCTTCCAGAGAATTTGGATTCCCTAGTGAATCTTAAGGTTCTGACACTGATGGACAATCCCATGGAAGAACCCCCAAAAGAAGTGTGTGCTGAAGGCAATGAGGCCATATGGAAATACCTCAAGGAAAACAGAAACAGGAATATAATGGCAACAAAGGTAAAATCAGCCCAGATTCTTGATAACAGTTGCTTTAGAGGGAGTCTAATGGTAAACACAGTACAGATTATCCTACGGAGCAACTCCTTACACCCTTGTCCTGCTTCTGAAAAGAGAAGTTACTTGGTAACTTTTATGTCCCCAGGGCTAAGTAAGAAGATTTTTAAATGTCAGCCCTAGCATTTTTGTCTTTTATGTCCCTTATTTCTTTGTCCAATAAGAAGCCAACAAATAGGCAAAGGAAACCAAAACTTCAACATTTCCAACAATCTAAAATTCGTGGACTATTTCATTGGAATGAAAAAAGTTTGTATTAACAAAAGTAGTAAAATAAGTTTAG
This sequence comes from Homo sapiens, assembly GCF_000001405.40. Taxonomy (NCBI): domain Eukaryota; kingdom Metazoa; phylum Chordata; class Mammalia; order Primates; family Hominidae; genus Homo; species Homo sapiens. Next base: position 169,833,524 of record NC_000003.12, read on the forward strand.
AAAATTAGAAATGAAAGCGTTTATAGATGAGAGGCTGAGCCCAGGGTTCTGAGCTGCCATTAATAAGGATCAAAAGGCTGAGATCCTTGTAATTCTGCTCTAGCCCTTTGAGCCCATGGAGATGTAGGACAGGTCTGGAATGTGTCCACTTCAGCCAGTGTTCTTTATTCTCCAACTGGCCCAAGTCCCCATCATCTCACAGCCGGATAACTACATAAGCCCTCTGACTACTGTCCCTGCTTGCATGCCAGCCCCCCACAACATACCTTCTGCTCAGCAGTTGCACTGATGCTCCACTGAAATTGGCAATCCTCCATTACACTCAGAGTAAGAGTCAAGTCTTCAGTCCGTAAAACCCCCTCTCAATAGCCCTCAACCCTATCAGACCTAATGTCCTCCCTTTTATGATAAATCTTTTGTAATACCTCTTTTACTATTCCAAAATAAATTCAGAGATAATAAAAACATACAAAAGGACATAATTTTAATCAAAATAACGCCTGAGTTACAATTTAAAGGAGAAAGAAAAGTAATTTATATACAAATATATATTTCAGGCCTGGCGCGGTGGCTCTCGCCTGTAATCCCAGCACTTTGGGAGGCTGAGGCGGGTGGATCACTTGAGGTCAGGAGTTCGAGATCAGCCTGACCAACATGGTGAAACCCTGTCTCTACTAAAAATACAAAAATTAGCTGGGCATGGTGGTGCGTGCCTGTAATCCCAGCTACTCTGGAGGCTGAGGCAGGAGAATCGCTTGAACCCAGGAGGCGGGGGTTACAGTGAGCCTAGATTGTGCCACTGCACTCCAGCCTGGGCAACAGCTGTCTCCAAAAATAAATGAATAAATTATTTCAGTGTGTATATGCTCAGGATGGATTACACTTGAAAGAATGAAAGTTGTGGTTCTTAATTGAATACTTCCTAAAAGCATTTTGAAAAACTGTGCACCCTCTTGCACGTTCTTAAAATGATATTTAACATTGTTGGCCACAAGTTTAAATCATTGCAAAGGATGTAATTTCCAGTGAATTTTAAATGTTGACATTTTAAAATAGAGCTGTTAGATCAATATTTTAAATGTATCCAGTGGAAACTGAATATCATTATGATTTGTCAACACCAATTTACAAATACTCAAACAAGTTATTATTTTATAGGCAGAATTTTTATATCATATTCCTTTTCTTCTTAAACATGTACTTCCATTCTACTTTCCCCTCAAAATTGATCCTAAGGTTTTATGTATACACATATAAGTCTTTCATAGATTGCTCTTTTGTACTTCTAGGTGACAAAAATATTTATATAAATTAAATTTTAAAAATTTAAAAATGTATATACATTACAACTATTAGTATAAAATCACCTAAAACAACATAAAATTTCTTACAAATTTTAATAATTATTAGACATATAGGATTTTTTAGAACAGTGTACCAAAATGAGAGGGTTTTTTTAGCATAGTTTATATATTCATGCATAAATATTGATGATTATTAGAATAACACAGGGTTGATTATAGATTCTACTCCTGTTTCTCATTTTACAGATGAAAGCCTTGAGAAACCTTGTTCACGTAGATGAGTTAAAGAGAACAGAAGAAGCTTTTTTTGCCTGTAATGTTTTATTTTAAAAAAACAATGATTCATGCATCTCTGAGCTTCTTCCAGATTTATATCCCCCAAATCGATAGCAGGTCTTAGCTGACATGTCAACTAGGCTTCCCTTATTTTTCTTGAAGGTAGAATTAGAAACCACCTGTCTTGCAAAAGGATTGGTTAACCAGTCCCTAGAGTCATTCATTTTCTCATCAACACTTGTACTTTGAATTGTCTTTTTCTGTGTGTGTGTGTGTGTGTGTGTGTGTGTGTCCTAATGATTTTTGGAGTCCAGGGCAATGCACCATAGTAAGATTCAGGTGGGTGCAAGCTGTGCCCTTCCTCTGTGGAGCATCACAGGGGCAACTGGGATGGGGGATCTGCAGTTATGTTCTCGGGATGATTTTAGGAAGGGGTACATATGGAAGCTGGAGCTCAGGAAATGGACTGTCTTCAACCTATCCATGCCTGCACACTGTTGGAAAGGCTTTGTAGACCAGGGTATAGGCCACACAATTGAAGACTGCTTAACCTTAAGTCAACAAAAAGCCCCATAAATTTCCAAAATGCCTCTAGAGAGCAGTGCTGTTCCCTGGATCCCGATTGGTCTGCTGTTTTCACTCCCCATCTCCTCTTTCCTACTCTCACTGGACTTCAGTCACAAGCAGATCTGGTGTTCCTCCAAGGACCAAGCATGTTCCTGGCTCAGGGCCTTAACACTGGCTCTTCCTGTGCCCAGAGATGCTTTCCCCAGATATGAGCAAGATTCTGGCCCTCACTTCATTCCATCTCTGCTTAAACATTCTCTTATCAGAGAGCCCTTCCTTGATCCACCTTATATAAAACAGCATACCCCCAGCCACCTCTTTCATTTGTTCATTCATTCAACAAACATTTATTGAGCTTCTACTATGCACCAGACACTGTTCTAAGCATTGAGATACATCAGTGAACAAAACAAATATTTATGTCCTCACAGTACTTAAAATCTAGTAGGAGGGAAATAAAAGCATGAAATAGAAAACATAAAATGAAATACTATGTTAGAGAGTGCTACTGTTTAAAAAAAAAAAAAAGTTAGCCTAAGGGGAACTGAAATTGCCAGTAGTGTGTGGAGGTGGAGAAGTGGTTGATTTAAATAAGATTGTCAGAGTAGGCCTCACTGAAAAAATGGCAGTCTTAGCTTAGGCTGCCACAACAAAATACCATAGAACAGGCGGCTTAAACAATGGAAATGTATTTTCTCACAGTTCTGGAGGCTGGAAGTCTAAGGTCAGAGTATCAGCATGATTGGAGTCTGGTGAAGGCCCTCTTCCTGGCCTGTAGAAGCTGACTTCTCCCTGTGTCTTCATATAACAGAAAGAGAGAGAGAGAGAGAGAGAGATTGCACTAGAGAGTGCTAACTCTCTGATATCTCTCCTTATAAGGCCACTAATCTCATCATGAGGACCCTGCTGTTATGACCTCATATAAATCTAATCATCTCCTCAAAGCCCCTTCTCCAAATTCATTCACACTGGGGATTAGGACTTCAGCATATGAATTTGGGGCAACACAGTTCAGTCCGTAGCAATGACAATCAAGCAAATCCTTGAAGCAGCGGAGGGGTGAGCCATCTGAATACTGAGAAGAGTTCCAGGCAAAGAAAGCAGCGAATATACAGGCCCTGAGTCACAACTGTGCCTATGTGTCTGAGCAGGGAGGAGGCCCGCATGGCTGGAGCAGAGTGAGCCAGGGAAAAGGGAGTTAAGAGGTTAGAGGGGTCAGGATTGGGGAGGCAGATCAGAGAGGGCCTTGTAAGCCATATAAGGACTTTGGCTTCTATTCAGAGAGAAATGGGGAGCCACTGGACAAGTCTGCTGCTAGAGGAAGGGTGTTGCTGGGTAGGTAGGAGGGAATAGGATCCAGGGAACAAGTGAGGGCTGGCTTTAGGCAGGAGCACAGACAGCCCAGTAAGGAGCAGGAAGGCAGGGCGTAGGCACTCAGATCCCCTCACCATGTGCGGTCACTCTCCATAGCACTCATCACCGTCTGACAAATTGAACATTCATGTGTTTATTTTGTACTGTCTCTTCCTCACTGGAATGTGAGCTCCATAAAGTTGAGACAGTTATTTCTCTGCTGTTGCCCAAAAGTCTAGAACAGGCACTGGCACATAAAAACAATAAATGCATTTTTTAAAAAATTTGTCTGAATGCCTAGCCAATTGAGAAAGATAGAAAATAAAATTTAGAGTTCTAATCACATCCCATTCTCTCCACGTCTTCAAGACCATGTATCAGAATAAAGAGATTTAACAATTTCCAGTTCATTGTGATACCAGCCGATGCTGAATTTGGGTTTATCTTGTTTTCAGATTCAGGCATGGTGGCGTGGAACAATGGTACAGAGAGGATTTGGGAAATTCGGTGAACTACTAAAACCACAAAAGAAAGGAAAGACCTCTCCAAAAGATAAGAAAGGAAAGAAGGATGTAAAAGGAAAACCAGGAAAGGGAAAAAAGAAATAATCCTGTAAATTGATAAATTGGGGTAATGGACCTTGATAGATTAAGAAGACAAAATATCTAGGAATTAGATGCCTACTACATTAAAATTATTCATAAAATTACACTTATGTGTAAAAATAAATGATTCTTACTTTTACTGAAATATTTATGGATAAAATGATATAACACCTTGGAATTGCTTCTAAATAATATGGGAGGGGGAGGGGAAAGTGGGTAGGAATACAAGTGAAACAAGATTGGCCGTACATTGATAACTAGAATAAGGTGATGAGTACGCAGGGGTTCTTTATACTATTTGCCTACTTTTATTTATTTATTTATTTTAAGACAGGATCTCACTCTGTTGCCCAGGCTGGCATGCAGTGGTGCAATATTGGGTCACTGCAACCTCCATTTCCCAGGTTCCAACAATTCTCATGCCTCAGCCTCCCGAGTAGCTAGGACTACAGGTGCATGCCACCATGCCTGGCTAACTTTTATATTTTTTTTGTAGAGATGGGGTTTCACCATGTTGGCCAGGCTGGTCTCGAACTCCTGACCTCAAGTGATCTGCCCGCCTTGGCCTCCCAAAGTGCTGGGATTACATGCGTGAGCCACTGCACCCAGCCAGCCTACTTTTAAAACTTTTACTGTGAAATAATTATAGATTCACAGGAAGTTCCAAAGAAATGTTCAGGTAGGTCCAGGCACTACTCAGCCTCCCTCAACGCTGACCTCTTTTATAACTATAGCACAATAACAAAACCAGAAGATTGACATTGGTACAATCAACAGTGCACTCATTTGTGTGTGTGTGTTTGTGTAATCCTATGCAATTTTGTCACATATAGTTTTGTGCAGCCACCATCACAGTCAAGACATAGAATTGTTCCATTGCCACAAGTTTCCCTTGTGCTATTCCTCTGTAGCCATACCTACTGCCTACTCCTCTCCCAATGCCTAACTTGTTCTCCAGATCCATAATTGTGTCATTTTAGGAATGTCACATAAATGGAAACACACAGTTTGTAACTGGGATTGGCTTTTTTATTCAGCCTAATCCACCTGAAGTCTATCGAACTGGGGGCATGTATCAGTGGTTTGTTCCTTTCTGTTGCTGAGGAGTATTCCATAGTCCCACAGTTTGTTTAACCTTTCACTCATTGTTTCTAGTTTTTTTGCTATTGTGAACAAAGCTGCTATGAACATTCATGCATAGGTTTTTGCATATGCATAGATACTCATGGAATGCATGGGAATGCTCATGATATTCATGGTATTCTTTTATATCATGTAACCCAAAATATCCCCTTTACATCATTCAAAACCTCCTCATCCTGAAAACCTTTTAATTTGGAGTAGTGTTGATTTTACATTTGCATGTCTTTCAGGCAGTGATTGCAATACTAATTATTAGTGTAGTAGAAGAAAGCAAAACATAATTTGACTAGAGCTTGTCAGAATAGAAATGTGCAGACAAACATCTCTGCCATGCAATGACTTTCATGCTCTAGCAAAAGAAAATCAAAAATTTCAAAAATAGTTTAGAGCAACACAAAACTGTCATTAACGAATTAAATTAGTTTTATGAAGCAAATTCCATTTCAAAGAAATGCCTGGAGGCAATATGTTAACAATTTTTTAAACAATAAAAGGTTTTAATTTATTCTAACAAGATATGTTTTTCATACTGAGTTTTAGATTTTTAATCACTTTTTACTAAGATTTATATGTCAGTGACTATCATTACTGTTCATGGTTTATATCTGAGATAAAAGGCACCAGAATATAAAATAATAAACCATAGAAAGGTACACTTTCTGATAAAAACCTACATAGACTACATTAAGATACATATAGTAATAGTAATGATACATGAAACTATTAGACAGCTAGTGCCTTTCACATTAGAATTACACACACACACACATACCCCTTTATATTTAGAACATTTAACTTGTAGGAAAAGAAGAGGCAAAACATTTCTGGGCAAGAGGAAAGCAGTTGCAGTACCAAAATCTAAACACTTTTGGCAAGGCTTCTAAACAGCAAATGAACTAATTATATATCCAAAACAAATCCATTGAAAAATGCCATTTTTGTTTCATAGACAGAGAATAATGGCATGCTCATATTAGATATTATATATATATTTACATATATATGTGTATTATATATGTATATTATATATATGTGTATATATGTATATTACATATATATATGTAATATATATATATATTTACAAAGCTCTTGTAATATAAGTCCCATTAAATGGCCCAGAAGTTGAAATTCAGTTCATGACTCTGGAATTCGTTCATGTTCTTTTCCTTTGGAGAATGGTTTGTAGCTTAGTAGGACATGGGAAATCAGTTTACTGAAACCCACCATGGTCAAAGTGAATGCTTCTTTTTTTATCTTGGTCAAAGCATTCTAGTTCTTCCTCCTGTGAAGCTGGGAGAATCCATCTTTTCATTCCTATCTCAGTGATCTGAGGAAGCTTGGTCACAGCATATAACAAGTGTCTAAACCATTGTCCACAATCTCGAAAATTTGATGGTCGAAGGCTAATATCCAGCTCGATTAGCTCTTTGAGGAACCGCACGTTTTGGCAGAACATGGTCCACCCCGCATCACAGATGCTGTCATTGTAGCTCAGGTCCAGCTTTTGCAGTTTGGCCAGATGACCCGTCTGTATGACCGATGCTGGAAAACAGAATCACTCTAAATGCTAACATACAAGAATACTGTCTGCCATGGCTATTCCCATTTCCCATAACACTATCTCCAGGAATAGTAATGACAAGATTAGTAATTAGTAATGATTTGTTATTAGCAGCTTTATTCAGGACATCTGAAATTAGTAACAGATTTCCTCTCTGTACATCCCATCTACAGCTTTTTTTATTTCTTTTTCCAAATCTCAACCCAATAATTTTTTTTTGTCAAGTTCCTGCTCTCTGTTCCACTGAAGTCCGAGCTCTTCCTACAGATTTTCTCTAATTAAATGTAAAGAGTGATGGCTCATTGGCTTTAACTAAGGACCATTTGTAAATAATCATCTTGCTGCTTTAATTGTTCATTTTCATTCATTCAGTACTTCTTCATCCAGCAATTATTTAAATGAGCATTTTCCATATGCAGAACATACCTGGATAATTTCCAATTCACCTTAGAGACCCCAATACATGTGACAGTTTTCCTTTTGAATAGAACATATCAGTACTACCTACAATGGCACTTAAAAATGATGACTAATGTACAATCTGAGCTATTTGATCAGAAAATAAATAAGTTAATGATGAAATAAAGACTTCTGTAAGAGGAGGCAGGAGAGATAACCACGGAAAATGGGACATGCTTCCCTTTTCAACCAAACCCAGGAATGGATTGCAGAGATCAGGTGGGTTGTATAGAATCTCAGCGTTGCAAGGGATCTTGGAAGTCTCCTTATCCAACCTCCTAATCAATAATCAGAGAGAAATCCTTTTCACAGCCTCTCTACTCATGACCACCACAATTCTGGCTGAACTGTTCTTTCAAGTTTGCCCCAGCATTATGGAGCAGCTCCTAGCGGGAGGAAGCCCTCCCACAGGGCCCCAATCTATCTTCTGGTGTCTTTCACCCAGTGCCCCAATCAGTCAGCTGTAACATTCAGCTCCTTCTTCCTCCTGGCAGCCCTGCAGTGTTGGACAACAGCCAGGTCTCCCTTAAACTTTATCCCTGTAGGACTGAACATGCCCTGGTCTTTCAGTCTTTCCTCACACGCATGGCTTTCAGATCAAGGAGGATGCTCCAACTCCATCACTTTCACTTGCCAACAGTTTGATTCCACAGTGAATTTGAGAGCTCAGCCACCCGTGCACACAACAGCTGCACTCTGTCTCTAGGTGTTCATGTCAGTGTGTGTCTCCCTTCCTGTCTCGCAACATTAATCATAATATTCTCAAGACCTAACTGTTAAAACAATGTGCACGCTTTTTCTCTTTTAAAAAATGTTGTATTATGAAAATTTTCAAACACAAAAAGTAGAGAGAATAGGAGAAAGTGGACCACCATGTACCCATCATTCAACTTCAACATTATCTTCATTACATCAATCTTGCCTCATCTAGTCCCCTTTCTTCTACTTTTTTGTTTTTTAAAAACACATTTTAGGCTGGGTGTGGTGGCTCACACCTGTAATACCAGCACTTTGGGAGGCTGAGGTGAGTGGATCACCAGGTCAGGAGTTCGAGACCAGCCTGGCCAAGATAGTGAAACCCCGTCTCTACTAAAAATACAAAAATGAGCTGGGCATGGTGGCGGGCACCTGTAATCCCAGCTACTCGGGAGGCTGAGGTAGGAGAATTGCTTGAACCCAGGAGGTGGAGGTTGCAGTGAACCAAGATCGTGCCACTGCACTCTAGCCTGGGTGACACAGCAAGACTCCCTCTCAGAAAAAAATAAAATAAAATACATAAATAAATAAATTTATTTTTTGTTTGGATTTTATAATGTGAGCACCCTATTTTATTATATTTTATTATTTTAGATTTATTACATTTTAAAAAATCTAGGTAGGGGAAATGTAGGCCATGGGTATACTCTTTATAGTTTACTGTATGAAAAAATAAATGCCATTAATTATTTTTAAAATGTATATAAGCTAGTGATTAACAAATTTTTAATGTTTCTATTAGAAAAAATATAAAAGTGACAATTGCTAAAACCACATATAGTAATACTTGTTTTTTGTTGCTGTTGTTGTTTTTGTTTTTTTGAGATGGAGTCTGCTCTCTTGCCCAGGCTGGAGTGCAATGGCGCAATCTCAGCTCACTGCAACCTCCATCTCCCGGGTTCAAGTGATCCTCCTGCCTCAGCCTCTCGAGTAGCTGGGATTACAGGCACCTGCCACCATGCCCAGCTAATTTGTGTACTTTTAGTAGAGACAGGGTTTCACCATGTTGGCCAGGCTGGTCTCGAACTCCTGACCTCAGGTGATCCACCTGCCTTGTCCTCTCAAAGTGCTGGGATTACAGGCGTGAGCCACCATGCCTGGCCTGTAATACTTGTTATTGAGTAAAAATTCAAAGAAGGAAAATATACCCTGATAAAATGTAAAAGTATAAATTTGACCTGAGAAAAAAACTGTCAGTAAAAATTAAGAAAAAATATACAATGGCTGAAGACATGGTGAATAAAATTTGATGCAGACAAAAATAAAAAAGACCGAAATGAAGAAGCAAATTTTAATTATAAACATTAAATAAAATAACTTAAATATATTTAATGGTGTCTAATTCAGAGAAATAAATAAATAAAAATCAAAAGCTTATTTTTTAGAAGACACAACATCAATAAACCCCTTGCAGTAGTCAGAATTCTAAATAGCCACCTTAAGATTTCCATTGTATCCCCAGGACTGAATGTGGTAGATTTTGCTCCCAGAATTAGCTTAGGCTATATGGCACACCTGACTTTAAGAAAGGGAGATTATCCATATGGAGTCAACCTAATCACATGAGCCCTTTAAAAGCAGAGAGAATTTCCTCCTACTGCTGGCAGAAGAGGAAGGAAGTCACAGAAGTCAGAGAGATTTAAAGTGTGAGAGGCACGGACAATCCACTCCTGTCTTGAAAATGAGGGGCCATGTATCAAGGAATGTGGCTGGCCTCTAGTAGCTGACAGCAGCCCCCAGCTGAGAGCTAGCAAGAAAACGGGACCCTCAGTCCTAAAGCTGCAAGGTCCTCGACTCTGTCAACAAGAATGAGCTTGAAAGTGGATTTATTCCTAGAGCCTTCAGATGAGAACTCAGCCAGGCTGACACCTTGATTTTAGTGTTGTAATACCCTACACAGAGAACCGACACAAGCTGTGTCAGACTTCTTACCTACAGAACTGTGAGCCGGGTGAGGGATGAGAAATTACTTAATGATGCATTATTCATTTGGGTGATGGTTACATCAGCACCCCAGACTTCACCACTACAATATACGCATGGAACAAAACTGCACTGGTGCCCCTCACATTTATATAAGCTTTTAAAAAGAACTGTGAACAAATACATGGATATTGTTTTAATCCACAAATTAACATGTTACACAGCAACAGAAAACTAATACCTTTGGTCAGACTAGCCAAGAATAAAGAGATAGAAACACAAATTATCAATATCAGGAATGAGACAGGTGGTATCACTATGGGCAGTAAAAGGATAACAAGGAAACAACTTTATTTCCATAAATTCAACAACCTAGATGAAATGGGCCAATTTCTTAAAAGACACTATCAGAACTTGCTTAAGAAGAAATAGACAACTGGAATAGTCCTAGCTCTATTTTTTTTCTATCTCTATTTTTTAAATTGAATTCGTAATTTAAAATATCCCACAAAGAAAATTCCAAGTTTAGATGGCTTCAGTGGTGAATTCTGTGAAACAGTTGAGCAATAAATAATACCAATTTTACACAATCTTTCTGGAAAATAAAAGAGGAAGGAACACTTTCCAACTCATTGTATGAGGCTACCTATACCCTCATAACAAAGCCAGACAAAGACATTATAAGAAAACCAGTAGACTATTATCCCCTTGTGAACATAGGCACAAATATCCTCAACAGAATATTAGCAAATAACATCCAACGCTATATAAACAAGATAATACATAATGACCATGACCAGGCTGATTTAACATTAAAAAATCAGCTAATATTATTAATTATTATCATTCATTATTATTATGAATATTAATGAACTATAGTTTTTTTAAATGCTCATCTCAATAGATGCAGAAAAATATAATTTGACAAAATTCGTTATAAGAACTCTTAGCAAATTAGGATTCCTTAACCTGATAAAGGGTAGCTACAAAAAAACCTATAGCTAACATCATACTTAATGGTGAAAAATGGAATGCTTTTCCCCTTAGCTTAGGGGACTAAGACTGGAAGCAAGGCAAGAATGCTCTCATCTCATTCAACATCTATTGGAAATCTAGCCAGCTAAATAACCAAGAAAAAGAAAGAAAAGATACACAGAGATAAAGAAATAAATCTGTCTCTAGGCCGGGCACAGTGGCTCACGCCTGTAATCCCAGCACTTTGGGAGGCTGAGGCAGGCAGATCACGAGGTCAGGAGATCGAGACTATCCTGACCAACATGGTGAAACCCCGTCTGTATTAAAAACACAAAAACTAGCTGGGAGTGGTGGCACATGCCTGTAGTCCCAGCTACTCAGCAGGCTGAGGCAGGAGAATCGCTTGAACCCAGGAGTCGGAAGTTGTGGTGAGCCGAGATCATGCCACTGCACTCCAGCCTGGTGACAGAATGAGACTCCATCTCAAAAAAAAAAAAAAAAAACAAAACAAAACCTGTCTCTAATCATAGATGATATGATTATCTATATAGAAAATCCTACAGGATCTACCAAAAATATCCTACAGCTAACAGATGAGTTTAGCAAGTTTGCAGTAAAATGTCAATATACAAAAATCAATTATATATCCACGTAACATTGGGAATCTAAAATTAAACAGTATCTTTTATAAGAGAACAAAAATTAAACACTCAGATATAAATTTAACAAAATATAAAAACTAGAAAACACCAGTGAAAGAAATCAAAGAGTACTTAAATACAGAGATAGACTGTGTTCATGGATTGGAATACTCAATATTGTTAAGATGTCATTTCTCCCTGAATTGATCTATAAATTCAATGTAATCCCAATAAAATTTCCAGATGGATTTTTAAAATAGATATTGACAATCTGATGCTAGCTTTAAATGGAAATGCTAAGTAACTAGAATAACCAAAACAATTTTGAAAAAGAAACAAAGAATACTTATACTACTTCATTTCAAGACTTACTATAAAGTTTCAGCAATCAAGACAGCGTGATATTGGTAAAATAAGAGACACAGAGATCAATAGAACAGAACTGAGAGACCAGAAGTAGGCCATCACAAATATGGCCAATTGATTTTTCACAAAAATATAAAGGCAAATCAATGGAGAATGGATAGTCTTTTCAGTTAATGGCACTCAAATAATTGGACAGTAATATGCAAAAATATTAACCTCTACCCATACCTCATACCTTATATAAAAATTAACTCAAAATAGGTAATAGGTCAAAATATAAAATGCAAATACAAAGCTTTAAGACAAAAATATGGAAAAAATCTTTGAGAACTTAGATTTGCAAAACGCTCTAAGATGCAACACAAAAAAACTCTATTCATCAAATTAACAAATTGATAAATCTTTATCAAAACTGAAAGCTTTGATCTGCAAAAAAACACTATCAAGAGAATGAAAAAGCCAGTGGGACAGACCCAGAGAAAATAATAGCAAATTATATTTCTGATAAAGGACTTACTTGTATTCAGAAAAATCTAAAAAACTCTCCAAACTCATCAATAAGAAAACAAACAATCCAATTTTTTAAATCAGGCAAAAGATTTAGAACAGACATTTCACCAAAGGAGCTAAGAAATGAAAATACACACATAAAAAGATGTTTGACATCATTGGTCATTAGGGAAATGCGAATTAAAATCACAATGTTTTGTCCCCATCTTCTAATTACAATCATTTTTGCTATAACACTTGTTTTGAAAACACAAGTTTATTTCAATGAGATTGAAATGTCAGGAAACAATCTGAGTATAATGCAAATTTCTTGTTTGCATTATGCACACAATTTGTCCACAGGAAACACTAGGTGAACATATAAAACTGTCCCCAGCTGAATTGAGCTGCATATAGAAATAAACAGCCTGGGCACGGTGGCTCACGCCTGTAATCCCAGCATTTTGGGAAGCCTAGGCGGGTGGATCACCTGAGGTCAGGTGTTTGAGACCAGCCTGGCCAACAGGGCGAAACCCCGTCTCTACCAAAAATACAAAAATTAGCCAGGCGTGGTGGCATGCCTCTAATCCCAGCTACTCAGGAGGCTGAGGCAGGAGAATCTGTTGAACATGGCAGGCGGAGGTTGCAGTGAGCCAAGATCATGCTACTTCATTCCAGCCTGGGTGACAGAGTGAAACTCTGTCTAAAAAAAAAAAGAAAGAAAATGCAGACATGCACACACCTCATGAGGACAACAACCCTCATCTCTCCACACACCCTCTTTCCACCAATGGAAGTGTGGACAGGCCACTTCTACAAACTTCAGGTCTTTCTCGGGAAAATGTAATATTTGCTCATTTCTTAACTATTTAATATGTAAAACTGTATTGCTATTTTTCATAGCTTCTGTTTTTTAAAATATGCCACTGATGAAGTGTTTGAGTGCGGTGCTTCCAACCGTAAGTCCTGTGGTTATTACTGAATAATTCTTGCATAACACATGATTTTTAGGCCCATGTGCCGTGTCATAGCAAAACTGACTAATATATACACTGAGAACACAGATACAACTACCTGGAGTGACTGTTCTGGCCCTTCATTGGGAGGCGCGCTCATTGCTTTGGAATTCCGGCTGAATAGTGATTGGAGTGTGGGGACAAGGCTAGATGGGAGCCAGAGAGAGTACTCTCTGATTCATTGTTTTATAATGGGAAAGTGGAAACATAGAATGAGTTTTTTATTTTGTTTTGTTTTGTTTTTTGAGAAGGAGTTTCGCCCCTGCTGCCCAGGCTGGAGTGCAGTGGCACGATCTCAGCTCACTGCAACCTCGGCCGCCCAGGTTCAAGTGATTCTCCTGCCTCAGCCTCCCGAGTAGCTGGGATTACAGGCATGTGCCACCATGTCCTGCTAATTTTGTATTTTTAGTAGAGATGGGGTTTCTTCATGTTGGTCAGGCTGGTCTTGAACTCCTGACCTCAAGTGATCCGCCAGCCTCGGCCTCCCAAAGCGTTGGGATTATAGGCGTGAGCCACCGTGCCCAGACACATAAAATGATTTTAGGGAATATTTGGGTAGCCTCAATCCCACAGTGCAAAAGTTATTCCTTATTCAATTATCTTTCCATCTTTCTAGACTGACATGGAAAAAGGGTCAGATTGTTACTACAGTATGCCTTTAACCCTCTCATCTTTTTCTAATAGAGAGGAGCCTCTAATCAAAGCCATCAGCAGTCTAGTATCTGTGAGAAGTGATACCTGTATTTCAGTTACAGTGATAATCAGTTTCCTGTTTAAATAAAAGCATTTAAATTAAAGAGTCAATTTAAAGGAAAAGTTAAGCAATAGTGCTGGAACCATGTGGATGGGTGAGATGTAGATGACTGAAGTGGGAACACTCACGGACCGCGGAGGTGTGGAACAGAGCTGTTTGCCTTTCAGGAACCTCCCCACCTATCTATATCCATATCCTTTTAGGAAATGCCTTCCACTGTCATGTGGTTTTAGAATTGCCTTCGCTCATTTTAATTAGACCTCTCGGCAGATGTTGGTGAGAAGGGAATCTGCACAGAGGGCTTCACCCCAGGTCTGGTACCTCCCCCACCTCCCCACCTGGTGCTTTGCAGGGGCCGCACCCACTGCTCTGTTTGCCAAGACCGCTTGGGAACAAGTAGATACACACCCAGGAGAGCCACATCCTCTGTCACCAGGGAACAGCTGCTCAGCCTCAGCACTTGAAGAGACATGGAAAGCTTTAGTGTTTCCAGAAGCAGCTTCAAGTTGCCACCAACACACTTGTTCCAAGAAAGGTTGAATACTTCCAGAGCAGAGAGGTGAACAGAGGCTTCAGCTAAAAGTGATAACAATACGAACAGCAGTAATTTAGGATTTCTTACAGATCATAGGCTTTGGATTTGAGGAAACTGGTCTAGGACAACACATGAATATAACTGGGGTTGAGAAAGTTGTAGAGACCATTTTCTTCTGCCTTAAATTTATGGCCTCAATTTATGTTGTCTGTTTTTTGTTTTTTGTTTTGAGACAGAGCCTTGCTCTGTCACCAGGCTGGAGTGCAGTGGCGCGATCTTGGCTCACTGCAACCTCCGCCTCCCGGGTTCAAGTGATTCCCCTGCCTCAGCCTCTCGAGCAGCTGGGGCTACATGTGCGTGCCACCACACCCAGCTAATTATTTTTGTATTTTAATAGAGACGCTGTTTCACCATGTTGCCCAGGATGGTCTCGATCTCCTGACTCAGGATCCGCCAGCCTTGGCCTCCCGAAGTACTGGGATTACAGGCGTGAACCACCGCGCCCAGCCTGTTGTCTGTTTTTATTTGGGGAAATATTGGAAACTTTAGCAATGCAAAACTTGATAAATTGGAATTCACTGTCCAACTGGGGTTTCTTTCCTTCACTTCACATGTAGGAAGGAGAAAGAGGCAAAGTGCTTGGACAGCTAGTCAAGATTTCCAGAATGTGTCCTGGTTGGTACATATTTCACTGCACAGTCACTGCTGAGATTCAGATGGGGGCAAGCCTCCCTCAGAGTCTGAAATACCAAAACTTATTTGTATTTACTTCACGCAATTACTGCAGGCAAGGAAAGTAACTAATGTATTTTGGAAAGATTTTTAAAGAAAAGTAAAAGATTTTCTGCTTAATTCTCAGTTGCCCCCAATGTTAAAATTAACCAGAATATCTTATTCCCAAGTTAATTGCACTTTAATCTATTCTGCCTTCCTTCTAGAAAATAATGTGTTCAAGGGGAAAATATATATCCTTTTATAATATCTAGTAAGAAAATCCTTACAGAGATCTACATTAAGGAGAAATGGAACTTTTTCTTCTAAAAGTGATGTAGGGAAATATATATTTGCTTCATTTACTTAATTCAAATTGAATGGTAGATTTATGTCAGATGATATAATTTAGTGTGATACCTAGTTGATCATGATTCATTGATTGTGCAGCTAGAATTAGAAACAGCTGTGCCTTCTAATGGCTGCAATTCCTTTAAAAAAAAAATATTTTCCCAGAATGGGCAACATGGTAAAACTCTATCTCTACCAAAAATACAAAAATTGGCCAGGTGTGGTGGCATGTTCCTATAGACCCAGAAGCTACTGAGGAGGCTGAGATGGCATAATCACTTGATCCCAGGAGTTCAAGGCTACAGTGAGCCATGATAGTGCCACTGCACTCCAGCCTGGGCAGCAGAGCAAGACCCTCCCAAAGTACTGGGATTACAGGTGTGAGCCACTGTGCCTGACCCAAGTCCACGGTTCTCTACTGGGGGTTAGTCATCTAGCTACCCTCCGCTCAGCATACACCAAAATTCCATCCTCACAAAAGAAAAGCTCATGTTCAGCATAAACCATGTTGTCTGTGCAAACAGGTTAGGCACAGTAAACCACCCTTCTCAGTTAGGAAATGGTATGAACACCCCCAGATTCCAAGTTCTGGGATATTAGCTAAGGGCCAGCCTTACTGGTTGATAGCAGGCCTTTACAGGGATAGCAGCATCAGGCCTGCTACGTTAACTCTTTTTTGCCCCCATACACGTGATTGGAGTTGCTGGATTTGGGTGCTTCCTGGATAATGCTAAAAACAGAGTCCTTCTCTCCAACCCTCTCACCAGTGTTTTTTATCAGTTGGCACTTCCTTAAAAATGAATTGTACTGTCCACCAGACAAGGGCTATTATTAATGAAATAAATGCATTAAATTCATAAAAATGAGTAATTATTATTATACATTAATAAAAATAAATGCATATTATTTACCCCCAAATTTGAAGAACTCTATATTTAGGGCATTCTTGCCCTCCTTTTCGGCCTGAGTATTTGGCTCAGCCTGAGTATTTTGCTCAGCTCGAGTATTTTGCTCAGCTCGCATAGACTTGGTCCTCACCATGTCCTGCTCCCAGCACTCCCTCAGCATCATTCATCCCATTGTCCACATGTCTGGATGGGGAAAAGTCCCAGGATACGTAGCCTTCAGCCCTGCTGTTCTAGGGCCCATGGACCCACCAGACAAGTCTAGGTATGCTTGAAGGGGTGCCTGTGAGCTCCCTAAAACTGATTACAGTTATTCTGTGGGGAAGAGTATGGTACATTTTCTGTATGCAAAACATCTGGAATTAGACTTCCTGAAATCAAATCCTGCCTCTGGCTCTTATGACCTTGGGTTACCTCATGTACTTAACATCTCTGTGCTTCAGTTTCCTTGTCTGCAAAATATAAAATGGAACAATGGCACATGCCTTATACAGTTATAAGAGTTAAATTGGTGAATGCATGTAAAGTTCTTGGAAAGGGGCCTGGCACATAGGATATGCTCAATAAATGTCAGTTGTTAAGTTCTGCCCACTTGGTGACAAGTGCAGTGTCAGCAAGTAAGAGGAGATATTTTGAAACAAAGAGACTTGGTAGCACTTTTCCAAATCCATCACCCAGGGAAACAGTAGTTTGTGCACACAGTGCTGGGGTCCCCAACACCACCTCCCTTTACTTGCTGACACTAAACTTGTCACCAAATGGGCAGAACTTTCAGATTCAGTAGGTTCCTGATGTAGGCTGGGGTATATCTGTGACCTTAAGGCATACCCAGATTCCTCAGACAGCACATAAATCCTGTTGGGAGTGATTGCTTGGCAGTTAGCTAGGCTCACACTCTAGTAAATGGCTCACTTTCCCATCAGATCCCAGATCCTCACCATGTCCTGCAGGTGGGCATGATCCACCAGGAGGGTGGATCACTTGAAGTCAGGAGTTTGAGACCAGGCTGGACAACACGGTGAAACCCTGTCTCTACTAAAAATACAAAAATTAGTCAGGTATGGTGACGTGCACCTGTGATCCCAGCTACTCAGGAGGCTGAGGCAGGAGAATCACTTAAACCTGGGAAGCGGAGGTTGCAGTGAGCCAAGGTCGCGCCACTGCACTCCAGTCTGGGTGACAATCTGTCTCAAAATACAAACAACAACAACAAAAAAAACCCTGCACATACTAGAATCATTTTTATGGACTTTCAGAAGGTCACTTTTAAGAAGGCATATGTCCTGAAAAGAAGACAAATTAGTACTTCGCAAACTGGCTGAGCCTTGGAATGAAATGCAGGGAAAAAGAAGTCTCCCTCGCACATTATTGCATGGTTCCTGCAGGGATCTGGGAAATCTCTTACCAAGAGCTGTAAAAGTCTCACTCTCCAAAGCACAGTTGTTGATAACTAATGACTTCAATGCTGGTAAAAATCGGAGCCTGCTGAGTAAGTTTTCAGAAGAACTGCCCATCTTTTTGTTGGCTGATAAATCCAATTCTTGAAGATTTGAAAGTAAAGGAATGACCTGGGCTGTTAAAAATATCAACAGTGACATGTTTTAGGCACCATCTCACAGGGAGTCTTCTGGGTGTTTGGTTCCCACAATCTGTTTAATCTGTCAGTCAATACAGCTCTCCCCACCCCGGCCCTCCCTCCTTTATACACCCCAAACCAGCCTCTTCCCAGCATGCTGCTTGGGCTTTCTTACTTCCAAGCCCCTTTTCAGGCTAGAAGAGCAAAGGCTGTGGAGACAGAGAAGTAGATCTTGGATCTGCTACTAAAGAACTGTGTGATTTTGGACAAGTTAATTAACGTCTCTGAACCTTAGCCTTCTCAACTCTAATACTCTTAGCCCTCTCGGCAGGGCACAGTGGCTCACTGCCTGTAATCCCAGCACTTTGGGAGGCTGAGGCGGGTGGATCACGAGGTCAGGAGATCGAGACCATCCTGGCTAACACGGTGAAACTCCGTCTCTACTAAAAAAAAAAAAAAAAAAATTAGCCGGGCGCAGTGGCGGGCGCCTGTAGTTCCAGCTACTCGGGAGGCTGAGACAGGAGAATGGCGTGAACCCGGGAGGCGGAGCTTGCAGTGAGCCGAGATTGCGCCACTGCACTCCAGCCCGGGCGACAGAGTGAGACTCCGTCTCAAAAAAAAAAAAAAAAAAAAAAAAAAAAACTCTTAGCCTTCTCTATTTCAAGTGGTCATTGGGAAGGTAAAATGACTTGGTAAAGGTAAAGTGCTTGGTATAGTGCCTGGCACATACTAACTGCTCAATTAATGTTTGAAATTATAATTCTTTTCTCAGAATGTAAGTACCAGTAAGGCAATGAAAACAAGCCATCAGAACAGACACCTATTGGTAACGGCACTGGGTCCTGAGGGGCCCAGCTAGGAATTACCCTCGTTCGCTATCTTTTGGCTACTTCTCTGGCCTTTGCCCCAACTATTACCAAGGCAGAAAATGCAGTATGCTGGATCTCTACAAAGCTGGCTTACCTCCTTGAAGCCTTCCAGGGTCACCCACACCAAAGTAACCCCTTGGTCACTATCACATCACCATATTTTATTTTCACAGCACCCAGCATTATGTGATATTTTCTTGTTGATATATTTGTTTTCTGTCTTCCCTCACTAAAGGCAAGCTCTGCGTTATAGGAACTATCTCACTCCCAGAATGGGAATCAGTACCTGAAACATCAGAGGTACAAATGTTTGTGGGAGAAGGGAGAGAGGTCAGGGGAAAGAAAGGGGAAAGGCAGGGAAGGCAGATAGATGGGCACTTGTAAAGTCAACAGGTGTAACTATTTCTCCCTCTTCCAACCCCCTCAGCACTTTGTATTTCACCATGTAGTTTGGGTATGCATCGGTTTACTCCTGCCCTTGCCATACCGAAGCTCCCTGAGAGTTGGGATTTTCTGTAGCCCCTGGCACGGTGCCCCACACCATTAGAGGATTCATCAGTAGTTATTGCTTAAAGGATCTATAATTCCATTTCTTTGGAGCAATTTACAATGATCGGATAAAAGAATGTTCAATTATTTAACAGCGTAAAGTACAAAGCAGGATGTATTTTCATTTCCATCTTTTCAGAATTAAGCAGAAGGAAAGCAATGCAATTCATTACAGTTATCAAATAATTATTAGTTTTCCAGGGCCATTCACCCATGTCAGTGGCTGTGAACCTAGGTAAGGAAAGCTTAGTCCTCCGTTATACTAGTGGGAACAATTGAGGTTCTCCAGCACTGAGGAGCAAAATGAGATGTGGTATTCATGTTATTTAGTTGTACCAAGGGAATCTGGTGGGCTAATAACTCTGAATGTCTTCCTAGGTATGACGCTCAGGCTATGATAAGTAAAGGGGATGGTAGGAACCCATAATGCTCCACGCAAAGCTCAAAAAGGGATTATTTTGTCATTTTAAAATCTTCATGAAAGTCTTGAATTCTTCCCATTTTCCCAAATTGAGAGATAAGAGTCTGAAAGATAATTTAGCAGGTTTAAAAAGATAGATGTATTAGACCTAGAAACATATTTTACGGTCTTCCTCCCCAAATTGTACTATAAACAACCAGAAACTTACTTTTATTCTCATTGTACACTCATTCATTCATTCATTCACATATTCAACATGCATTTACTTGGTGCCAACCATGTGCAGGTGCCTGTGCTTGAGCAGTGGGGAGATGCCAAACGAGACACCTCTAGCCTGGAATTGCCCATGACCTGGGGAGAGAGAGCATGGGCAAAGGGCCCAAGGCCAGAGCATGCCTGGCGTGTCTGAGAATCAGCAAGGGCAGTGGCCAGGGTGGAGTCTGTGAGGAGGAGGGGGAGTGAATGAAGTCAGAGTGTTAGAGGACAGGGAGACCATTTGGGCTCTTGCAATAATCTAAGCATGAGATAACCGTGGCCTGGACCAGGGTAGTGGAGGTCTAGATGGTGAGCCATGGTCAGATGCTGGATGTACATTGAAGGCTTATTGTGGCCACAGGTGGGATAAAACCCTTAATCTCAAGGCTACGCTTGCTCTGTTATGGGAAATTGCATTTATATATTACATGTTGTAATTACAGAACTATGTTTGCAGTAGGAAAATAAGTGTAGTTGCCCAAAGCAGTAACGTACAGCCATCACGCGCCACCCTGCTGACTCTTTTTCTGTAACTTCATTTGTATCTGAGTGGCTTCACTTCACTTGTTATTCAGAAAGCCTCGATACCCTTTGTGTTGACGTTTGGTTACAGGTATGTAACCTGTTTGTAATCAACTTTGTGACACTAAGAGATTTATTTCTAAACAGCAACATAAATTCAAAATTTTCCCTAAGTGCCAAATCTATCATTTGCAGACATGTATGGGTGGAACTGAGATTCACTAACATTTACTGGGCGTTTAATACATGCCAAGTACTACATTGGGGCACTCACAGAACTGTTATGAATTGATCTTTCCAATAACTTCAAAAGAAGTAAATTTAAGTGTACATATTAAAATTTCCAAGTTTCCAAATATAGGCCAAGATTCCAAAAGTCTTTCCTTTGCTCTGCAATATATACTTACTCAGTGACATCACGTCATCTGCTGTTAGTGAGCACTGGTGAAGATCTAGGACTTGTAGATGCTTTAGCATGACCAACTGAGCCGGCGAGTCTTCAAAACCTCCACCTAGATCCTTATTGCAGGAAAGATCTAATTTCCTCAGCTCACCCAAATACCTAAAAGCAGCATCTACAAAGAAAGTCAGAATCCCATTCTGGTAGCTGGACACAGTGGTGTACCTATAGTCCCAGCTGCTAGGGAGACCAAGGCAGGAGGATTGCTTGAGCCCCGGAGTTCGAGTCCAGCTTGGGCAGCATAGTGAGATCCATCTCTTAAAAAAAGAAAAACCGGGCTGGGCGTGATGACTCCCATCTGTAATCCTAGGACTTTGGGAGGCTGAGAGGGTGGATCACAGGGTCAGGAGTTCAAGACCAGCCTGGCCAAGATGGTGAAACCCCATCTCTGCTACCATTCTGACATATCGCAAGGTGGTAAGAAGGTGTGGAACAGGGGTGGGGCCATGGTGCAGTAAGGGAGGTTGAGGGAACACACTGTGTTCACAAAAGACAAAAGGAGGAATAAGTGTAGACTTCCTACCATCTGGCCTTCTGTGAACCCGACCATGATTTCACACACACGCTTCCTAAGATCTGCATACATTGCCAAGGGTTTTGACATGAATCCTGCAACTACACTTGAGCATCCTCTCCTATTACACTTGAGCATTGGAGTTTACATAGATTTTTAGACTTATTCAAGCTGCCAGTGAATATTACAGGTTCTGTAAGTTGAAGGGGAAACACAATATCATTTCCTATTCTCTGTTAATATGGATACTATATACAGAGGAGTAAGTTTTAACTGTGGACGCCATCGAAGCCGTTCTTTTTATCAGTACCTATTCCTTCCTACTACTGAGCATAAAATAATGCTGACACTTTCAAAAGAGAAAACCTAGTAGTTCTAGCAGCAAAGAAACTTTATTTTTCCCAGTGTTTATCTTAACCTAAAATATACTGGCCTTTTCAGAGTCAGTCATACTAAAGGCTTATTTTTATAATCATGAAAGTGTATGTTCTCTATAAAATATTTAGAAAATAAATAAAATATAAAATATGTATATATTTTTGAGATGGAGTCTCTTCTGTCACCCACATCGGCTCGCTGCAACCTCACCTCCTGAGTTCAAGCAATTTCTCCTGCCTCAGCCTCCCAAGTAGCTGGGATTACAGGCGCACGTACCACCACGCCCAACTAATTTTTGTATTTTTAGTAGAGATGGGGTTTCACCATGTTGGCCAGGCTGGTCTCAAACTCCTGATCTCAAGTGATCCGCCTGCCTCAGCC
This sequence comes from Homo sapiens, assembly GCF_000001405.40. Lineage (NCBI taxonomy): Eukaryota > Metazoa > Chordata > Mammalia > Primates > Hominidae > Homo > Homo sapiens. Next base: position 169,856,139 of record NC_000003.12, read on the forward strand.
TCCCAAAGTGCTGGGATTGCAGATGTAAGCCACTGTGCCCAGCCTAAAGGAGATTTCAATTACCCATAATCTTATTCCCCAGCACAACCACTGTTTATATTTTGCTATATTTCCTAGTAACTTTTCAATATATATATTTATATGTATATCATATATAATTATACATGTAATCTTAAATCCAGCCATTGTTAACTCACCCAATATTTTGACACTCTTTTGTGATAATCCACATGAATGTAACTTCAGTACTTTCAGATTTGAGGTGCTTTTTAATCCCTGAGCAATACTGTTCAGACTGCCAACAATGTCTCTGTTAATGGAAAGATCAAGTACTTCGAGACTTTGCAGCATAGGTAGCAGTTGACCTAGAAGGAAAGAAATCCAAATAAGAAGGGTAGGTAGGAGGGGAGTGGAGTTTTACATCACCTGGGGATATCGTGACGTAAAACTCCACTCCCCTCCTACATACCCTTCTTTAAATTCAGAATAAGACAAAACACAGCAAACTTCCCAAGCTATCCAGTGGGCATCTTCACTTTTTTTTTTTCTCTTCAAATTCCACTTACCCAGAAATGTCCCATCTTCTGACGTGAGGGAGCAATCCACAAGCTCAATCATTTGTATCTTGCTCCCTTTTTGGAACTTCTGAAGGATCAGAGGCAAATTTCCTCCCACTTTACTGTTCCAAGACAAATTTAGCTCTTCAAGTTCAGGAATCATCTCAAATGCTTCTCCTGTTAACAAATGGCCCGAAAATTCTGTTGGTCACTAGTCAGAAAAGCAGGGAATTCATTTCAGAATCAGCACAACCATGATTAATGGAGTGTGGAAACTGGGCCAGGTACTGTCCTGTTTGGCACCGAGGAACAGAGAGAAGGAAAGAACCCAATTCCTTCATAGCAGGGCGTGCTTCTCTAGATTTACAGGCACAGTCATTCTAATCCCTCCAAAATTCTGAAGCCATGCGTATGAGCTAAACAATTGTTGTTGTAGAAAAATCCACCTATTGGTAGGGTGGTTTTAGGAAGCTGCTTTTGTGGTGGTTCATCTGCTTTCCCTTAGCCCCTCTCTCTGGGATCAGCATTTCTGAGAAGTTTGACCAGGGATAGAAGTGAGGCAAAGCAGATAACTGGCCACCACAGAGGTAAAGCTCTCTCCAATGTCAAGAATATCACATGCCTATATATATATATATATATATATATATACACACACACACACACACACACACAAGTATATATATACACATATATACATACACACACATATACATATACATATATATATATATGAGGAATATCACATGCAACCTGAACTGACCACTACAGAGAGAAACTAATAATAGAGCATCAGGCACTAGAAGCTTATAACAGCCGTGCTGCCTTAAGGGGTAAAGGAGGGTGCAGTGACACAGGGATGAAAACTAACATTTCTGAAACCATTACACACTGGAAAGCTCCCAGGGCTGCAGAGTGGAGGCTGGGAGAGAATAGGAGAAGTGACCAAACAGATCTGTCCTTAGGAATGATTTTCACTGCCTTGCGGGTAGACACATACATGGAAAATGTACTTTCTCAATGTGCAAACAATTAAGCATTCTGGCAAGTCCCCTGTATCTAGAACCCTCTTTACTACCTGTCCCTGGGTTTGAACTTCTACCATGGTTTATTCATTCCATGGATTAAGGTTTTAGAAGTCCAGGAACCCCATGCTAAAATGCGTATTCCCCAGGAGTTATAGCATCTTAAGCCAGCAATGAACAGGCATCATTTTTTGTGCTATTACCAGTCAATTGGGGGTGACTTTCTATAGCCCTGAGGTGTTCCCCAGGCTCAGGGAGAAAGAGCTCATGATTGATTAGTTATGTCTGCAGTGGTCATGGTACTGGAGTGCCATGCATTTGCCACTCGGTACTAAACTATTATAATGGGTGTAACAATTTTGAAATGCCTTCTGATTTATGTTCTCTTATCAAGAAACCATTTATTTTCCCTATACCCCATCTGCATTAAGGTTGAGTGAAGAAGATAGAGTATGGGTGATAGGTAAGCCCCTCCTGATGGGAGAGGATGCAGAAGTCCTTCCAGAGAAGAAATAACTCTGGGAGAGGGAAAAGGGCGCAAACATCAGAACAACAACAGTGCAGACTCCCTCCTCAACCAGGTAAGTTTGGAACAGGTCCCAGGGCAGAAATTTCATTTTCTTGTTTTCTAAGGATGGAGGGTCAGGAAAAAGATCAGGTTAATCACAGAAAATAAGAAAGTTGTCTTTTCACACCTGAGTAATGGTATGTTAAAATTGTGAGTCTGCTACATGATAACCAGCTGCTTAATGTGGGGCTAAACTCATCATGTAAACCCACAGAAAGGTGGTTTTAGATGACAGAATGGAGAAAGAAGGACTATCAGTTATTGAGCAACTATTATGCACCAGGCATGCAGTAGGCACTTTACAGAAATTGTTTAATCCTTGCAACAATTTTTTGAGAGGGAGGTTATCCCTATTTCAGATATAAGAAAACCGAGGCTCAGAAATTTAAATTATTTGTTCATGTTCACAAAGCTAGTTAAAAGTGGCACTAGAGGCTGGGCATGGTGGCTCACGCCTGTAATCCTAGCACTTTGGGAGGCCAAGGCGGGCAGATCACTTGAAGTCAGGAGTTCAAAACCAGCCTGGCCAGCATGGTGAAACCCTATCTCTACTAAAAATACAAAAAAATTAGCCAGGCATGGTGGTACATGCCTGTAATCCCAGCTACTTGGGAGGCTGAGGCAGGAGAATCACTTGAACTCAGGAGGCGGAGGTTTCAGTGAGCCAAGATTGCACCACTGCACTCCAGCCTGGGTGACAAGAATGAAACGCCATCTCAAAAAAAAAAAGGGGGGGGGTGGGGGATGGGCACTAGGATTTGAAGTAGGATCTACTAAAAATAAAAAAAATACAAAATAATTACAAAAATTAGCCAGGCATGGTGGTGCACGCCTAAAATACAAAAAAATACAAAAAATTAGCCGGGCATGGTGGTGCACTCCTGTAATCCCAGCTACTTGGGAGGCTGAGGCAGGAGAATCACTTGAACCTGGGAGGCAGAGGTTTCAGTGAGCCAAGATTGCACCACTGCACTCCAGCCTGGGTGACAAGAATGAAACACCGTCTCAAAAAAAAAAAGGCCGGGGGGGCGGGTAGGCACTAGGATTTGAAGTAGGATCTGGCCAACCTGAGATGTGTAATGTTTCTCCTCAGCTACAGGAGGCATGGGCCGGGGGACGTCAGCTGCCCCCATTTCCAGGGAGAGACTGACAAGCGGAGATATTTGGCATAAAATGTGTTGTTTTTACAGAAATCTTTAAATAGCTGTAAAGGATTAAAATAAGTCATGAAAATAAGAAACTTTACATCAAAAGAAGAATAAAAAGTATCAAAGACATCTAATAAACCAGCAAGCATTTTAGTACAGCAGTTGGATAAGTAGAATGACTGTGTACAAATTTAATCCTATGAAACTAACTTAATGGAGGTTCTAGTTCTAGTTAAACTATTAACTTAAAAATCTTGTTTTGTTTAATGTTTCAAAATGTGGGTGGGAAAATAGAAGAGAGAAGTATTCTTTTGGAATTGTAAAAGAACTTAATTCTTGTCTACTCTAACTCCTCTATTTTACACATGAAGTAACAGACCCAGTGTAAGCATGTTTTACAGTAACCTCCATTGAAACTACATGAGGCTGGACACGGTGGCTCACACCTATAATCTCAACACTTTGGGAGGCCAAGGTGAGTGGATTCCCTGAGGTCAGACGTTCGAGACCAGCCTGGCCAACATGGTGAAACCCCCATCTCTACTAAAAATACAAAAATTAACCAGGTGTGATGGTTCACACCTGTAATCCCAGCTACTTGGAAGGCTGAGGCAGGAGAATTGCTTGAACCTGGGAGGCAGAGGTTGCAGTGAGCCGAGACTGCACCACTGCACTCCAGCCTGGGCAACAGAGTGAGCCTCCATCTCAAAAAAATAAAAATAAAAATAAATAAATAAATAAACTCCATGAAAGCAGGGACCTGGTCAGCCTTGTTCTTTTTTTTCTTTTCTTTTCTTTTTTTTTGTTTGGAGATGGAGTCTCACTCTGTCACCTAGGCTGGTGTGCAGTGGCACGATCTCGGCTCACTGCAACTTCCGCCTCCCAGGTTCAAGCGATCCTCCTGCCTCAGCTTCCTGAGTAGCTGGGACTACAGGAGCCCACCACCACACCCGGCTAACTTTTTGTATTTTAGTAGAGACAGGGTTTCACCATGTTGCCCAGGCTGTTCTCGAACTCCTGAGCTCAGGCAATCCGCCAGCCTCAGCCTCCCAAAGTGTTAGGATTACAGCTGTGAGCCACGGCGCCCGGCCGAATCCATCTTTTAAGAAATGCATTCATCATACCCAGTGCTTGAACATCGTCAGTGGTGAGTCTGCAGCTACCCAGCCTCAAGATTTTTAACTTGCTGACCAGATGCATTTGCTGAGTGATGGAAAGGAGGGTTCCACCTACAAAACCATTCCAGGAGATATCCAGTTCTTCCAAGTCTGGGAGAAAAGGCAGCAAGGCAACTAGAAGTGAACAGAAGAAAATACAGATATGTGTATGTGACTTGTGATTTGTAGTAAATAAAATGCAATGCTTACATACACAGGATATAGTTTTACACTGTAAGAGAATAGACAGTGGTAGGCACGCTGACTTTGGGCAAAGCAGGGAGCCCTCAGCTGTACAAGTGGAGAAATTGTGATGTTTACATTTGCTATTTCTTGGGATGTTTTCTATTTCTGCCAAATAACTGCAGTCTGAAAATGCAGGAGTGTGTCTGTAAGATTTCATACAGCCTCTTTTCCTAAACTCAGCTGAAGTCTTCAAAACTTGAGGAAGGATCAATTAACTTGTTTTTCTTTTCCTTTTTTTTTTTTTTTTTTCAGACGGAGTCTCGATCTGTCGCCAGGCTGGAGTGCAGTGGCACGATCTTGGCTCACTGCAACCTCCGCCTCCCAGGTTCAAGTAATTCTCTGCCTCAGCCTCCCGAGTGGCTGGGATTACAGGCACCCGCCACCACGCCTGGCTAACTTTTGTATTTTTAGTAGAGACGGGGTTTCACCATCTTGGCCAGGCTCGTCTTCAACTCCTAACCCCGTGATTCACCCGCCTCGGCCTCCCAAAGTGCTGGGATTACAGGCGTGAGCCACTGCGCCTGGCCTTTTTCTTAAAAAAAAAAGAAAAAAGAAAAAAGAAAAAACCTACTCGGGAGGCTGAGGCAGGAGAATGGCGTGAACCCGGGAGGCGGAGCTTACAGTGAGCTGAGATGCGTCACTGCACTCCAGCCTGGGTGACAGAGCGAGACTCCGTCTCAAAAAAAAAAAAAAAGCGATGCTGTTTCTGCAATTGTCTGGGACCACTCAGCAGACTTGGGGTTACTAGGTGGGTAGCTGAGTATGTTTTATCTGCTTATCTCAATGGAAAGGCCCTATCTTCCTCTATGCAAAGTCTGCTGCATACAGACCCATTTCTTTCATGTCCGCTGTTGTTAATCCACAGTTATTCAAATCTAGACACTTGTTGACAGCCTTTTTGCCCAGCTTCTGCAGGAAATGCTCATTTTTCTCCATACTGGATCTCCATTCCATTTCTGAACTGAGAGGCTTAGCTGTGTGATAAGCATAAAAAAGAATTTGCTGTTAATGATGGATGTATTAAAGATGCATAATGACCACAATCAGACAAGTGAAAAGACTGCATAACTCTGAATTGCTCTTTTATAAAAACCTCAACTCAGAGGCAGAGCCATTTACTAGGGACAAAGCTTAACTAACCACTGTTCCTGCCGCCAGGTGCCCAGACACTGCTTCAGGAGCCTGAGGAACGCAGTGGCTTTTCTATCATGACCTGACCTGGGCTTCTCAGCATGAAGACAGAGCTGCATTCCTGGGTGAGAAGTAAACCTGTCAGCCCGGCTTTTGAGATGCTTGCTTACTTGAAGGGCACGCATATCTTTGGTGGATGCAACTGCTAGGGAGGAAGCAGAGATACTTGCCTCCTCAAACCAAACAGGTGAAGAAGGGAAAGCGTTGAAATCACCATCAAGGAGCTGCAAATGGCCACACGGAGTAAGTGGAATTCTTGCCGGTCAGTTTCTAGACCATTCAATTGGCAAACACAAATCCAGAGAAACTAGGCCTGGGAGAGCTTTTGCTTTTTCTCAACTCCTGCCAGAAAGTGAATTTGGAAAGCCTCGTCTGTCCTCCTTGTTATTAGGGACTACTGTGGCACCCTCACTAGCTTCCTCTGTAATAACACTGTAATAACATGCTAGTGGCTGGGCACGGTGCCTCACACCTGTAATCCTAGTACTTTGGAAGGCTGAGGCGGGTGGATCATGAGGTCAGGAGATCAACACCATCCTGGCCAACATGGTGAAATGCTGTCTCTACTAAAATACAAAAAATTAGCCGGGCGTGGTGGTGCACACCTGTAGTCCCAGCTACTCAGGAGGCTGAGGCAGGGGAATATCTTGAACCCAGGAGGCAGAGATTGCAGTAAGCTGAGATTGTGCCACTTCACACCAGCCTGGCAACAGAGAGAAACTGCATCTAAAAAAAATAAATAAATAAATAAAAAAGATAGCACTATAATAATAAAAGCTATCATTTTATTGAGCACCTGTTATGTACTCGTTCTTTGCCTACTTGCAGGTGCCAGCATTTCTTTTTTCTTTCTTTTTTTTTTTGTTGGGGGGGATGGAGTCTCACTCTGTCACCCAGGTTAGAGTGCAGTGGCACAGTCTCAGCTCACTGCAACCTCCACCTCCCAGGTTCAAGCAATTCTCCTGCCTCAGCCTCCCGAGTAGCTGGGACTACAAGCGCCTGCCACCACGCCCGGCTAATTTTTGTATTTTTAGTAGAGATGAGGGGTTCGCCATGTTGGCCAGGCTGGTCTCGAACTCCTGACCTCAGGTGATCCACCTACCCGGCCTCCCAAAGTGCTGGGATTACAGGCATGAGTCACCATGGCAGGCCAGGTGCCAGCATTTAAGACATACATAAAACACATCATACTTTTCTAAGGAAAAATGAATATACATGTACTGACAGTGATTTTAAAGTGATTTTGTAAGTGAAATATACAATTTTAAACATATAGATTATGTATATTGAAATCCAATAGGAAATAATAAGTTCTGGAATGAGCAGTAATATTTTATTAACCCTGACAAAAAGGTGTAAGACAACATAGCTAAGAAGAAATACATTGGTACCTGTGAAAATTAAAAGATAGTAGGTTTGCAGTAGTAATAAATTTAGACCAAATGATTAGCAGGATAATAAAAACTACACCTGTAATCCACAGCAGTCTTGTGGCTTCCTGTTTGGTCTAAGAAAACCACACGTAGGATACGCGTCCTTGTTGGGATGCTTGGTGTTACCACATTTCACCAGTAGGAGGCAGCAGCATCCACCATTTAACCTTTCACTCTCGCCTTCCGTTTTTATGGCACATTGGACACAAGGCATTTAATTTTGGGTAGAGTTGCCAGATTTAGGAAAAACAACAACAGGGTGCCCAGTTAAATTTAAATTTTAAATCGACAAGGAATTGTTTTATTGTATGCCTCAACTGTTGCATGTATTTTCTCTGGCAACCCTAATTTTGGGTGGGGCAGAGCAGAATTGTGGATGGGAGACAGGGAGGGACTGCCTCTTAGGTGCCAGCAAGTACAGGACATTTTGTCTAAACGAGTCACAAACCATTTCATAGATTTGGAAACTTAGAGACACGATTAATTAGGAAGAAGCAGAGCCTGAATTTGAACCCAGAATAGTTTGTTCCAAAGCCTAGTGTGTGTGTGTGTGTGTGTGTGTGTGTTATTTTTGTATTTTAAAAAATTTCTCTGCATTGCATCTTATTGCTGTCTCTCTTTTGTTTTTAAGCTTTTTATCTCGACCTACAATCATCCTCAAGTTCCAGCCCCACCAAACCCACTCTTCTGTTTTCTCCTCAAGACACTGCTCTGTCAAGCATTTCCTTTACTGTCAAATGTTTGGAAAGAGTGGTTTCCACTTGCTGGCCCAACTCCTTCCCCACATTTACAAGCTAACCCTCTACCTTCTGGTTGCTACACTCCTCTATCCAAATACATTGTTTCTCAAAGGTCACCAACAATAACCTACAAACTGACAGACGCAGAAATCTCTTCTCAGTCCACATCCCACTGGGTGCTCTGTCATGTTTGATGTGACTGACAAGTAAGCAGTACAGTCAAAAGACCTGATCCAAATCACAGGTCTGTCTGAGGAACAAGTCACTCAACCTCTCTGAGCCTTGGTTTACTCATCTATGAAATGCCTGGTTCATTTCTCAAGAGCATCGTGATTTAAACTTACTGGAACCTCCTATGCACATGGTAATCTGCAGGGCCTTTTACCTGAGAGGTATTTGGTAAATATTTGTTAAATGAGCAAACAATTGAATGAATGAATATTGGTTTTACAGTTCCTCAATTACCAAAATAAATCATCATGATAAATCTTTATCAAAACACTTAAATATAAATGTGAGTACTAACTTATGAGACCCCTGGACATCTCCTCACAGATCATGTATTTCAATTTTTAAAAAATCTGTGAAACCGGCCAGGTGCAGTGGCTCATGCCTGTGATCCCAGCACTTAGGAAGGCTGAGGCAGGTGGATCACCTGAGGTCAGGAGTTCAAAACCAGGCTGGCCAACATGGCAAAACACCGTCTCTATTAAAAATACAAAAATTTGCCAGGCGTACTGGCATGCACCTGTAATCCCAGCTACTTGGGAGGCTGAGGCAGGAGAATTGCTTGAACCCAGAAGGCAGAGGTTGCGTGAGCCGAGATTGTCCCACTGCACTCCAGCCTGGGCAACAGAGCAAGACTCCATCTCAAAAAAAAAAAAACCTATGAAACCAAATTAGCCCAGTGTAGTGGCGGGTGCCTGTAGTCCCAGCTAGTAGGGGGCTGAGGCACAAGAATCTCTTGAACCCGGGAGGTGGAGTTGCAGTGAGCCGAGATTGCGCCACTGTAGTCCAGCCTGGGCGACAGAGTAAGGCTCTATCTCAAAAAAAAAAAAAAGAAAAATTATATGAAGCCTTCTCTTCACAGGATACCTTATGTCACAGCTCAGTGTGTAGAACAAGTGAGTCAGGGCTGCTACAGCTAGGCTGGAGTGGGGTGGGAGGCACCCATGGGGGGCGCATTAGTAACCACACAGGAGCCGCTCTGTGGAGATTGAGGCCTTTTCCTAGCTGTGTTAGCTCTGAACAAAGCTCTCGGTTCTTAGTGCTCTCACTAAGTTCCTTTCCGACTGAAATCTGTCAAGGTTTGTCAACCAAAACTCTCGACACTCATAAAACATTATTACACATTGGTAACATGGGTGGTACTGTACCAGGAACCAACATAACAAGTTCCTGTTTTCAAAGAGCTGCCTGTTTAATGAAAGAGACAGCAAGAAAGCCACCGTTACCGTATAGATGAGAAGTGGAGGCACGCAGGGGTGTGTGGTTCCACACTTCAGTGACAATAAGTACCTCAAGTCTGGTGATTCCAGGTCGGGGAGGAGGGTCTTGGGAAGTTTCCAAGAGAAACTGGTGCCTGGATTGCACCTTAAAGGAAGAGTGGGAGTCATCCAGGTGGGTGGACATGAGGGAGGGATAAGTCGGGGGGTTGCAGGGGAGGATGGTGACACGAGGGAACATCTTTCTAGCCACAAAGAACCACTTGCTGGGGATGGGAGAAGAATGTGGCCAGTCCAGGGAATTATAAGTAAATCAGAGGGCCACACGTAGAGGATGAGGGCGGCGCTGTGGTGGGAGGTGGGAGAAGGCAAAGGTCATGAAGAGATATCCAATATCCAACTGATCACTAATACCTTGAGGGCCATGCTTGGGAATATAGGTGAGAGAAACTCAGTGAAGGATTTTAAGCAGGCGAGAGACACCACCATATCTGTGGTTTAGAAAGAGCATTATGGCAGTGTAGAGGACAGATTGGCAAGAGAGCAAGACTGGAAGCAGAGAAACCAGTTAGGAAGCTATTGCTGTGGTCCAGGCAAGAGACAATGAGAGCTAGGCAGCAGCAATGGAGAGGAAGAACCAGGTGGGAGAGCTATTTAAGGACAGAATTAACATGACTCCAGGAGCCATAGAATTTTGGGAGAAATAGAAATGAAGAACCAAGCAGCTTGGGTGGTCAGTGTTGCACAGCAGGGATGACCCCGGCTTGGTTTTGCACTGTTAATTTAATCACAATTACATTTATTCATTATCTTCTTTCCTGATGCTCTAAATCACACTCTAGAACAAAAATGAACAATTTTCTGATAGAGATGGTTTTCTTTTAAAGACAGACTTTAATTTCCTATTTATAAAAACATACTTAAAATACATTTAATCTACTTGCTGCTAAAACTGTATTATTTTTGGCATTTGATGGCAAACAATCTGATGGAAGGGAGGGTAGGTATAAATGATATAAAATTGGCTAGGCACAGTGGCTCCTGGCCAGGCCTGTAATCCCAGTACTTTGGGAGGCCAAGGCAGGCAGATCACCTAAGGTCAGGACTTCGAGATCAGCCTGGCCCACAAGGTGAAATTCCTTCTCTACTAAAAATACAAAAAAATTAGCTGGGCATGGTGGCGGACACCTGTAGTTCCAGCTACTTGGGAGGCTGAGACAAGAGAATCACTTGAACCTGGGAGGCAGAGGTTGCAGTGAGCCGAGATCACACTGCTGCACTCCAGACTGGGTGACGGTGCGAAACTCTGTCTCAAAAAGAAAGAAAGAAACAAAATCGGCCATGGGTTGATTTTTTTTTTTTCTGTCTCAGAAAGAAAATTGGCCATGGGTTTTTTTTGTTTGTTTGTTTGTTTTTTTTTTTTTGAGGGTCTTGCTCTGTCACTCAGCCTGGAGTCCAGTGGTGCAATCATGGCTTACCACAGCTTCAACCTCTAAAATTCAAGCGATCCTCCCACCTCAGCCTCCAGAGTAGCTAGGACCACAGGCATGCACCACCATGCCCAGCTAATTTTTAAACTATTTTCTAGAGATGGAGTCTTTTTTTTTTTTTTTTTTTTTGAGACAGAGTCTTGCTCTGTCGCCCAGACTGGAGTGCAGTGGCGCAGTGGTGCAATCTTGGCTCACTGAAACCTCCACCTCCCGGATTCAAGCGATTCTCCTGCCTCAGCCTCCCGAGTAGCTGGGATTACAGGCACCTGCTACCACACCCGGCTACTTTTTTATATTTTTAATAGAGACTGGGTTTTACCGTATTAGCCAGGATGGTCTCGATCTCCTGACCTCATGATATGCCTGCCTCGGCCTCCCAAAGTGTTGGGATTACAGGCATGAGCCACCGCACCCGACCAAGACAGAGTCTTGCTATATTGCCCAGGCTGGTCTTAAACTACTGGCCTTAAGCGATCCTCCTGCCTCAGCTTGCCAAAGTGCTGGGATTACAGGCATGAAACACCATGCCCAACTGATAATTACTAAAAGTAGGTGACTATGGGGATTCTTTATTCTATTTTTGCATATGCTTAAAATGTTTTTAAAATGCTTTTAATCTAATAGATAATATATTGATGACATTGCACATAACACATAACTTTAGAGAGAGATTTGACAATATTTATTTTCATAACCCTTGAATTTGCAATCCCTGTTCTGGAAATTTATACTTTAAAAATAGCTGAAATATGGTGAAACAGGGAATGGGAAAGAAAGAAAGCCAAAGATACTCACCGAAGGACAAACAAGGAACTCACTGAGTAATTAAGACATATGAATGTGATGGAATATTATGCAACCATGAAAATTATGCATATGAGCATCATGTAGCAATGTGGGAATTGAGCAATATAATAATATGTTCTAGAAGTAGGATCACAGCTCCACATAAACTCAGGAGGAATCTGTAAGCTATTACAACTGTGGAAAAGATGCCAATCTGGCCCCAGCGACCTCTCTGACTTGTCTTCCACTACCCCTTCCTCTCCATGTCTCCCATCCTGCTTTAGCATCCCTGACTTCCTGACTCTCTCTCAAGCACTCTAGGCTCAGTCGTATCTAAAGCCTTTGCATGTACAGTCTCTTTGCCTGGAAAGCTATTTGCACAAATACCTAAGTGGCTCGCTTTATTCATTCATTCAGCAAAGCTGATTTTATTCAGATTGCTGCTCAAATGCCTCCAAATCGAAGACTTCTTTCCTCCACCCCCATCTAAATAGCACCCCATCCCATCATTCTTTGTCTCCTTAGCCTGCATTATTTTTCTTCATATCACTTATCACCACCTGAAGTTATATCTGCATTTGGTCCTTTTCATGGCTGTATTTCTAACACTTAGAGCAGGGGTTACTACATAGCAAGCACTCAATAAAGATTTATTGACTGCTGACTGACAGAACATAAATGCATGCATATGAAAAGAAAAGACTGAAAAGAATCTTAAAGAAATGATCGTTTGTGTTATAATGAAAGGAAATTCAGTATTTTCCCTACATTTTTCTGTAGTGTTATATTGCTTTTAACAATTTAAAAGTAAAATTATGAATCATTTAAAGCATGTAAGTAACATAATAAATGATTAGCACAGAGACTCATAGTTGAGTCTTTAGTCTCAAAAGTCTTAAAGTCTTTAGTTTAACCCATAAGATCACTTTAGAAGAAAACTCTAAAAAATAAAGAAACATAGAGGCTGGGAAGGGTGTGTGTGTTGTTGGTGGGGGAGGTGTGGATGGTTAATGGGTACAGAAAAAATAGAATATATAAGATCTACTGTTTGATAGCACAACAGGGTGACTATATTTATCCTTTGTTTACAAACAACCCGTTGTGCTCTTTTAGTTATTTTTAAATGTGCAATAATTTATTGCACATTTAAAAATAACTAAAAGAGGCCTGGTGTGATGGCTTACACCTGTAATCCCAGCAGTTTGGGAGGCCAAGGCAGGAAAATCACCTGAGGTCAGGAATTCGAGACCACCCTGGCCAATGCAGTGAAACCCCATCTCTACTAAAAACACAAAAATTAGCTGGGCATGGTGGTGCGCATCTGTAATCCCAGCTACTCGGGAGGCTGAGGCAGGAGAATCGCTTGAACCCGGGAGGCAGAGGTTACTATGAGCTGAGATCACGCCATTGCACTCCAGCCTGGGTGACAAGAGTGAAACTCTGTCTCAAAATAAATAAATAAATAAATAAAACTAAAGGTATAATGGGATTGTTTGTAACACAAAGGATAAATGCTTGAGGGGATGGATACCCCATTCTCCACAATATGATTATTAGGCATTGCATGCCTGTATTGAAACATCTCATATACCCCATAAATATATACACCTACTATGTACCCACAAAAATTAAAAATAAAAATATTTTAAATGTGGAAGTAAAAACAAAACAAATACAACAGCAAAAACACCAGCAGCCAGCAGCTTACCAGTCTCTGAGGTGGCTGTCTTCTGTATCCAGTCGCTGGGTTGGGAATCACTTGTTTTAAGGTCATTGTCCTCTTTTCTGCTTTCAGCATTGGAGCCCCTGAGAAATTTGTTGACAGTTGAAGTCTGGGGCTTAGTTTCTCCTTCTGAGGAAGTTTTCTTCCTTGTTTGACTCATGGTGAAGTTGATGGGGGTAGTTCCCAATAAGACATCTTCCTGTTGCTTTCTGTTTTCTAGGATTTCTAAGAAGAAAAGAAGATTCTGTCAAGCCTGTGTTCAATCAAAATATCCTCCCCTACATGACTGCCCCCCACTCCCTGCCGCACCACCTTTCTTTTTCTGTTTTTTTATTGCTGTTAATGTTTAACATGAAAATAAGAATGATGTAACCCAGGATCCAGAAGCCAATACAAACTCAAAGCAATTTGAGTTTTTAACTTTGCCCTATTTCATTGTGTGAGATACAAGTCATTAAGCATGACTTTGGCAAGCACATCAAGTGTGTCAACACATCTTAAATTACAGCTGTCAATTAGTTACCTGAAGACTTAATATGCCTTTAAAAGGGACTGGCCATTTGCAAAGCTGTCCCCAGAGGAGTTTGCCTTCAGCGACCTCTGCCTTCTGGTGACCCCCACCTCCTTCCTTTGCACATAAGCTCCTTTTTCTCTTTGCATATTCATATTTTCTCTACCCCCAACCCTGCACCACCACCCCACTGAAACATGTTGGCAGTAAAGAATTCATTCATTCCATAAATAGTTTTAAAGAATCTACTGTGGGCCAGTTAATGTTCTAAATGCAAAAGATTCAATGACGAACAAGAGACAGTTCTTGTCTTTGATGGGATCTTAACCTGGTGGGAAGATGGACCTGTATGCCATTGATTGAGTGGGACAAGAGCCAAGAGATGGGAGGTGGTCAGGGAACCCACAGTAAACTAAGCATGCCTTGGAGAACAGACTTGGAACAGTGAGTGACATTGCCTGGGTTTTGAAGGACTGCGAGTTAGCTTTTTAAGAGAGGGAAGAGTATCCCAGGCAGAAGAAAGGGTAAGCTCAAGAGCTCCCAGGCAGGAACGGCTGGAAGAGCCTAGCATTGGAGGTGGGGATGTGGGTCAGGGGGTGTGGAGGTTAGGGGTGAGGTCTGGTATGAATTGAAGCTAAAAAGGATTCGTAAAGGTCAATCTATTATCTCTCCTGAAATTTGCTTATATTTTATGGGAGGGCTAAGGACTTAAACTAAAGGGATACACAGAAGTGTTTTGTTTTGTTTTGACATAGAGATGGATTTTCACCATGTTGGCCAGGCTCGTCTTGAATTTCTGGCCTCAAGTGATCCGCCCACCTCGACCTCCCAAAGTGCTGGGCTTAAAGGTGTGAACCATCATGCCCAGCAGAAGTATTCTTGAAATTACAGTTTTCATAGTCTCCTCTCTAATAAAATAGCTCTTTCTGTAACATTATGTTCCAGAATGGTCCAAGAAACATTTTACACAGGGAATCCTAAAAATGGACCTTGCAGAGCCCACCTCCACTCGTGAGGGCTGGAATGTTCCATGCACTTGGAGCACTGCTTTGGAAGTCACAATTGGACATTCCATTTTTCTTTTAAAATCTTCCTTTCATATTAGAGCAGGGCCCAGCCCTGGTTTACCCAGCAACAGACAGCAGTGGAACTAAACAATTACTCCATGCACAGCAGCACAGCTGACTAGAGTCTCAGGGGGTTAGGTGGAAAAGAAGAAGGAAAGGGGCGCTAACTCATAAATCTAAACATGACCTGCAGCCCTGGCTGCCTCACCCTGATTCCACCATCACCCCAGGCCTTTCTCAATTTGCTACTCTTCTGGCCCCCCACCCAGGACACCTCCATGGTCATTTTCAGCCAATTTCACCATTTGGAGATTTAGACAGGGCTATTCTCTGGGGAGCTAGCTCAGTAAATGGTTTCACTTTTTTATCCTCCCCCCAAATGCACTGACTCCAACTCCCCAAGTCCTAAGAAAACAGTGCTGGAGGGTGCTCCAGGATGTGGTAATTTACCCAGGTGAAACCACACCCAGCTTCTGAGGCCCAGCCAGTTCTCTGTGAAGATCAGTACACTAAGGAACAGGGGAGCCAGGAAGCCAAGAAACACAAGAACCAAGGAACAGAAGAGGATGTGAAGGAGAGGAAAGGAACAGGAGAATAGAAAGCAACCAGGAGGCTAATAAGGCAACAAGAAAGGACCATGCCAGAGGAAGGAAGGCTTTTGAATGAAAAGGGGGAAGCATTTGCACATTTCTTCATGTATAGTAGTTAAGTGCTAGGTTACCATACTCATATTTAAAAATAATAATAATTTTTTCTTGAAAATATGTCTGGGAAATTCCTCTTTATATAAAAACTTTAATAAGCCCTCAGGCTTCCCAAACCAAGTCCATCTTTAAAATCTTAGCTTCAGTAAACCTTCCGCTTCCTCCTTATCCCTGAACTGGACTTTATAAAGGAAATCCCTGGAAAAGGAATTTGGGAAAATTTGCAGATCACAGCACAACCACCACAATACAGCAGCTAAAAACTGGGGGTTTGTCCCTTCTACCAGGGTCAAAAGCATTCACTTAAGAGCCCTTAGGAATAAGAAATGGCTGATATTTCAATTCAACTCATCAATATTAATTGAGCAGATACTTTCCATATTTACTATATTCTTAATAGTTAAGGTTTTGCCATGAAGCCTCAAGAGTAATAATACATATTTGACACGTCATTTCTCTTGCATGTAAGCTCTTTTTATTTATTACTTTTGCAAAAGTAAGGAATACCTTTCCTTTCTTGTCAATCCTTAGGTTTGGGTTTAATATAATTTAAAATTTTTGAGGAATGTCTTTAAAGGTCTTTCTTTCTTTATTCTTTTTTTTTTTTTTTTTTGGAGATGGAGTCTCACTGTTGCCCAGGCTGAAATTCAGTGCCGCAATCTTGGCTCACTGCAACCTCTGCCTCCTGGGTTCAAGTGATTCTCCTGCCTCAACCTCCCAAATAGCTGGGATTACAAGCATCCGCCACCACACGTGGCTAATTTTTGTATGTTTAGTAGAGACGGGGTTTCACCATGTTGACTAGGCTGGTCTCAAACTCCTGACCTCAGGTGGTGCGCCCACCTCGGCCTCCCATAGTGCTGAGATTACAGGCGTGAGCCACCGCACCTAGCCAGTCTTTCATTTTTTGATGTAATGTTTCAGAGTGAATCATATTTTCAATGTTGTTTGTCAAAGGGAGATGCATTTTTCTTTCTCCACAGTCTTATTTCATTAAAAAAAGAAAGGAAATTCTGTTGCCTGTTACAACATGAATGAATCTTGAGGACATTAGGCCAAGTGAAATAAGCCAGTCACAATAAGATAAATACTGTATGACACCTCTTCTATGCAGTATCTAAAGTAGCCAAATTCATGGAAACAGTAAAAATTGTGTTTGCCAGGGGCTAGGGGGAGGGGAAGTAGGGAGTCGTCTGATGGGTATAAAGTTCCAGTTTTGCAAGATGAAAAAGTTCGTCTTTGTACAACTTTGTGAATCTGTTGTACAACAATGTGAATATATTTAACACTACTGAACTGTATACTTAAAAATGGTCAAGATGGTTAATTTTGTGTTCTGTAGTTTTTACCACAATTAAAACATTTTTAAGTGTATTTTTAAAAAGTGATTCAGGCTGGGTGCAGTGTCTCACACCTGTAATTCCAGCACTTTGGGGAGGCCAAGGCAGGCAGATTTCCTGAGCTCAGGAGTTCAAGACCACCCTGGGCAACATGATGAAACCCCATCTCTACTAAAATACAAAAAATTAGCCGGGTGTGGCAGTGTGCACCTGTAGTCCCAGCTATTCGTGAGACTGAGGCACGAGAATCGCTTGAGCCCAGGAGGCAGAGGTTGCAGTGAGCCAAGATTGCACCACTGCACTCCAGCTTGGGCTACAGAGTGAGACTCCATCTCAAAAAAAAATAGAAAGTGATTCAGAGGACTGAACTCCAAATGTAAAGTTTTAAGAATACAGTAATCAATTTCTACTTTTATTTTCCTTCTTATGTATCCACAAATGTGACATGATTTTAGAAAATCCATGCCTAACTACTAAATAGATTTTTAATAAGCATAAAATAAAAATCCTAGGTAATCGGAAAAAAAAAAGCTTCAGTCACTCAGTTCTAAGGCATTGTGGTGGCACGCAGTATCTTGAGTTCTATGTCTGATGAGCTTAGTTCAGCCTTATTCAGAACTCTTGTCTTAAAGAGGCATTATTGTAGATATATTTGTAGTACTTTAGTTCACTGTACTATTTTTAGTTAATTTAAGCAGAAAAGGAATTTATTAAAAGAATGATATGGAAGTTCTACTAAAACGATGGCAGAGGTAAATATGTGTTTACCTCCACTTCTCTTGAAACCCTATTTAATCAACAGATTTTTAAAAAAATCATAAATCTGTAAGGATAAGGAGAACTGGATAGATGTTAACACAACTTTGAAAACTAGAGAGCAAGAGGATGAGTTTAACTGACTTTAAAGTTAAGTGTCTGCATGGATTGGGAGAACAAATTTTTCAAACGTCAGAATCCCGAAAGTCTCAGTAATTGACAGCACAAGGTAACTCTGAAGGAAAGAGATGTGTGGGTAGAGCTGCACACAAGATGATTCGCGAAACATTTGTAAGAGGTTAAATTGTTAAATTCTATTTCTCACTTCGGGCAGCCAGGAGGCTACCCCTTCCCCATCTTGGCAGAAGAATGTTTATTTTCACGACACGTCGAAACATAGAAGATCCAGACTCAGACACTGGTCAAGTTTTGAATACCTTATCTGAAAGGAGCTTAAGTAAAGTCTATAACTGAGCTATGAAACCCGTCCCTATTCCCTCTTCTGTTCCTCCAAGAACACCCTGACAACCAAATGTAACTACCCACTTCGCCACATAACAGAGGTGGAGTGGATGACAACTATCTGAAGAAACTGGCCAGCCTAAGAGAAAAAACCTAGATATTGACTGTTGAAAGTCCTTCAGCTAAATGAATCTGTCCCTGCCCAAGCACGTTACAAAGAAACCCACTGACTGACAGGCCCTACTTTTGTACACAGACATTCCAGTATAATGCATAATCTACATATGCGTGGAGCACCAAGGATGTCAAGATATTTGAGGAAAGATTCTGACATAACACCAAGGTGCAGAAACAGTAAGAAAAATGAAACTTGGAAAATAAAGACAATGTGGGGAGAAGAAGGGACTTTTACAAATCACTATTATACTTAGAGTGTTAAGAGATGAGACGATGTATGGTTCATAAGTCAAGAGAAAATCCAGAGAACAGAAGAACTTCTAGATAGCAGTTTCTGGGCAAGATGAAAATGTTGATGGTGAAGTGGGGTTTTTTGTTTGTTTGTTTGTTTGTTTGTTTGTTTGTTTTTATGTATTTATTGAGATGGACTCTAGCTCTGTCGCCCAGGCTGGAGTGCAGTGGTGCGATCCTGGCTCACTGCAACCTCTGCCTCCTGGGTTCAAGCAATTCTCCTGCCTCAGCCTCCCAAGTAGCTGGGGTTACAGGTGCTCACCACCACACCCAGCTAATTTTTGTATTTTTAGTAGAGATGGGGTTTCACCACGTTGGCCAGGCTGGTCTTGAACTCCTGACCTCAAGTGATCCGCCCACCTTGGCCTCCCAAAGTGCTGGAATTACAGGCATGAGCCACCACACCCAGCTGTTGTTGCAGTTTGGAGTCTACCCAGTCCTCCAACAATAACCCCTCTGAGGCCCATGAAAGCCCTGGGCTCAGCCAGAGTTGAGCAGATGAGGGAACAACCAGCTGCAGAGAGGAGCCACCTTCTCTGCTGAGAACTTCAGAGATCTGCAGAGACCACCAAATGACCAAATGACCTGCCTGCAGGGAGGAACTACCCTCTCCAAGGGCCTCCTCTCTGCTGAGCACTGAACACTGAGGGTATGACCTGCCTGCCTACAGAGGGGAGCTACCCACTGTGGGTCTCCTCTGAGCTGTTCTAACACTAAATAAAGCTCCTCTTCATCTTCTTCACCATCCACTTGTCTGTGTACCTCATTCTTCCTGGACACAGGACAAGAACTCAGGCAAAGGTGCTACCAGCCACAGGGTTTTCAGGAAGAAAATAGACACCCAAAGATCCAGTAACAATATTATTCAGGCACAAAAATATAATGAAGTATTGATACATAACTGAATATGAATAAATCTTGAAAATATGCTAAGTGAAAGAAGTCAAACATAAAAGGCCACATATATTATTCCGTTTATATTAAATAGCCAGAATAAAACAAAGTAGATTAATAGTTGTACATTGGGTGAGGAGATAGGGATATTATAACTAAAGGATATAGAGTTTCATTTCCACATTTCTACAGAAATGTGGAATTGTCCTAAAATTGATTGTGGTGATGATTGCACAACTGTGAATATATTTAAAGTCATTGAATTGTACACATTAAATGAGTGAACTTACACATTTTTGGTATATTTTGTGGTTAAGCTGTGAACAACTTTTACATTGCCATAATAGTATAAACACTATATGTTAAAACTCAGGAATAACCATATTGGAATGCCGAGGAAAGGGGAAATTTGCAAACATGTAACAGAAATAAATCCTCATTTGTCCTACAAAGAGGACAATAGGTAATACCTAAAAATGAAATAACAGTATAAGCATGTTATTTGGAAATGCAGAGGTACACAGCACACAAAAGGTAAAAGGGATGCATTTCCTGAACAAAACTCTTACTTATTATATTTAGAGTTTTCTGAATCTGACAGAAACAATTTAAATTAATTTTTTTTCTTATTAAGTCTTTTGGGAAAGAGAGATGAGAAATCACAGTGACAATCTCAAAGAACTAAAAGCTGTTCTGGCTTTTTACAACCTTCTGGAGAAAAATGAAAATATAGAAAATATATACTAGTGATGTCATTTACAACTTAAGTAAAGGATAACAGGCATTTTGTGAACTAACAATTTCCTCAAAAAAAAAATCCTAAATTCAAGCAAATTATTTCAAGTCTAGAAATTATAAATTACATTGAAGTTGCTTAAATACATTAAAAGCATTTAGGCAAGCTGAAAGTTTTCTCTTAATATGAACTAGAGCAAGCAAACAGTTACCTAGCACTCCCAGAAAGTCACTTCAACTCAGGCCTTTCATAGCACATCATCTTTATGGATGTTTTGTCTTAGTTATTTCTTTTTAATCAAAGCTGGGCAAAAGGAGACAAATAATTTTAATCTCTATTTTCTCCTTGTTACCGCTGAGTGCAGACACCACGTTCTGCACCATTGACCCCATTGATGCGGCAGGCTAGGCTCTCTGCTAGAACCTTGGCCCCTACTGCCTTCGAAGCCTAATATAATTGCCACAGCCAAGGCCATGTCTTCAGAATGGATTCTGCATGATTCATGCTTCCTGGTGCCATAAGTGCAGCTTCTAAGCCTCCCCAGAGATTCTTTGAAATACCTGTGGAATTAAAAACAAAATACAGTCTGGGTGCAGTGGCTCACACCTGTAATCCCAGCACTTTGGGAGGCTGAGGCGAGTGGATCACTTGAGGTCAGGAGTTCGAAACCAGCCTGGCCAACATGGCAAAACCCTGTCTCTACTAAAAATACAAAAATTAGCTGGGCATGGTGGTACCCACCTGTAATCCAGCTACTCAGGAGGCTGAGGCAGGAGAATTGCTTAAACCGGGGAGGCATGAACCTGGGAAGCAGAGGTTACAGTGAGCCAAGATTGCGCCACTGCACTCCACCCTGGCGACAGAGCAAGACTCCGTCTCAAAAAAAAAAAAAAGAAAAAAAAGTTTTAAAATGCATTTTGAATTTAAGCTGCCTGGTTACATTATGACCTGGGGAAAGCCTGAGGTCAGAACTGACATGACCTGAGAAAGACAAAGGGAAGGGAAGGCCACTGTTGGGTGAAGTGCTGTGCTCTCAGCATTTCTCCCCTGCTGCTCTATGGCATCCTCCACCCAGCTGTTGATGGTAGGTGCCCTCGCTCCACTATCTGTGTTGTGCTCTTTTTCCTCCCTGATCTTCTCCCAGGCTCTCCCTGGAGAAGCCCAGGCTCAGGAGGGCCATCCAGCCTCCAAAACCCGAGTCCTACCACCCCCAAGCCAGCTCACCTCCCACATCCCCATAGACTTTGACTATGTAACTGGCTGTGTGGAGCTTTCTCACCTCTGAAATTCTTGTATTGCCTGACCTGTATTTAAAAATACATAGCCATGAATTTAAGTAATAAGTAATTTAAGGTATTAACATCTTGCTTCCTCAGCTGGGCAGTTAGTTCCTTAAGGACAACAGCCATGAGTTGTATTTCTTTGCACCTATTAATACCCGGTAACGGCATTATAGGTCACAGATGTTCATAAATGTGTGACTGATGCTGAGGCAGGCCCATTCTGCAAAGCTCCAAGAGCAACTGTATTTCAAGGCAAATGAGGGAGAGCAACAGCAAACCATCCATGGTTCACATGTAACAAAGGGACTAAATCTGCTTGTCCTGTGAAGGCAATGAATACTCAAAGAGCCTGCCCGGGTAAGCAGATTCTGTTATTGACCTAAAGTTCATTGTCACAGGGGCATTTCTGGTAAAGCCCTGAGCTTAGGGCTGCCAAGATAAGAATGCACATTTAGCCAGGCGTGGTGGCTCATGCCTGTAATCCCAGCACTTTGGGAGGCCCAGGTGGGCGGGAGTTCGAAACCAGCCTGACCAATATGGTGAAACCCCATCTTTACTAAAAATACAAAATTAGCTGGGTGTGGTGGCACATGCCTATAATCCCAGCTACTCGGGAAGCTGAAGCAGGAGAATCGCTTGAACCTGGGAGGCGGAGGTTGCGGTGAGCCGAGATCACACCATTGCACTCCAGCCTGGCAACAAGAGCAAAACTCTGTCTCAAAAAAAAAAAAAAAAGAAAAGAAAAGAAAAAAAGAAAGCACATTAGCCAGTAAAGAACATGACAATATGACAATAAGAGTGAAATGGGAAAAATATTCCTTAGAGCAAAGAATGCAGTGCACTTATTTTAGGAGGTAAAACTCAAGTCACCAGTTACAGAACAATCAACCCTTCGTCCTATCCCAACCTTAATGTTTAGGTCAGTTTCTTGGGTAGGAGGCTGCGATAAACATTACTATTACACACCAGTACCTGCCATTCTACTCCTCTCCCTGGATTACCTTTTTGAATTTAGGTGGCCTTGTGACTTGCTTTGGCCATCAAAATGTTCGTGTAATTGAGATGCGACACTCCCAGGCAGAAGCATTTAACAGCCAGTGCTCAATTTTTCCAGCCGTCTTCCCTTGCTGCAGCAATCATGGGAGCCAATGTCCAGTGAGAGATGCAGCAAAGTCGGAGCAGGGAGACGGAGTGCATTCACTCCAAGTATACTTACTGAGCACCAAGTATGTACTTACTGAGCACCAACCACGTACTTAGCACCAACCACGTACGAAGCATTGTTAGGCACTGGGAATCTCCTAGTGCGCAAGGCAAGGTCTCTGCCCTCATGGACGTTCCTGTCTGGCAGGGGAGACATCTATTTTTAACTTATTTTTAACTTAGATATAAGTCATTATTTAATTCTGGCCGTGACTCATGTTATGAAGAAAGTAGAACTTGTCCAGAGAGCATAGAATACAGGCATCCTGAGGTCTGAGATTCAATGGGAGGGTTGATTTAAGAACAAATAGGAGGGGCCAGTTAAAGAATATTCCAGGCTGAGGTTCTGTGTCAGGGAGGGGTACAGTGAATCTGAAAAATAAAAGGCCAGTGTGGCTGGACAAGAGAAAGTGGGGCAACAGTTCATGAGACTTGTGAAACATGTAGAAGCCAGATTGTGTGGGGCCTGTGGGCTCTGTTAAAGAGTTCAGTCTCTTATTCCAAAACTGACTCGGGTATTCTTGAAACAAACAATGAATGGTCACTTACCACCCTCCTGTCATATTTTCCTATATCCCAGTAGCCCTTGTGGAGTGGCACAGAGCTCTTCCCAGTTGGGAAAGAGTTAAGCAAGTTGAGAGGTTGAGCACATACCCCTGCCATGAGGTCACCAAGGGGTCTATCCTATTCCTCCTGTAGGAACCAGCACCTTCTACCATCCCAGTGATGCTGGCTACAGCAGGGAAGCATGGCTGGGACTGCACAATCCATGGAGCTGGTGGGAGCCCTGCCCTCCTGAGTGGGGCTACAGCCACCCAAACTGTGGTTGTATATCCGAGCCTCCCTGTGCTCTTGGAGGGGGCTAGGAGTAGGCAGGGTCTGCCTGCCTGGTTGCCACAGCAACTGCCAGACCTGCAGCTGCAGAGCTGGGCCTCCTGCTCCACAGAGCAGGCAGGAGCCAGGGACAAGCAGGAACCCCACCCCTTCTGAGTTGGCAGGAACAGCCACCCTCCCAGGCACAGGACCTGGGCATCTTTGCAGCCTGCAGGCTCAGAGGTGTCTGCTCCCACTGCCTGGTGCCTCTGGTCCCAGAACCTACTCTGATCTCAGAGTGGGGTTGGGGCCATAAATGGCAGTGGGAAGCAGATTGATTCCTGGGCAGAAGGGGGCAGGTCCCCAGTAAGTCCCCATGTTCAGGCCAGGGAGGGCCTGAAGGCTGGGGGCTTGGGCTGCCAGTCCTGTGGACTAGAGTGGAGACTCGGGATGCCTCTTCCAGACCCACCCATGGCTGCCCATGGACCAATCAGCATGCACTTCCTCCCCTCTGAGGTCTGTAAAAGTCCTAGGCTCAGCCAGCAGGGCAGAGGATGGCCAGAGGGTGAAGAAGGCAGAGAGACAGACGCAACAACCAGCTGCAGAGGAGTTACCCTCTCTGCTGAGAGCTGCAGAGATGTCCTGCCTGCCAAGAGGAGCCACCCTCTCCAGGGCCTCCTCTCTGCTGAGAGCCGAACATTCGACAGGATGACCTGCTTACAGAGAGGAGCTACCCACTGTGGGTCTCCAACACTAAATAAAACTCTTCATCTTCTTCACCCTTCACTTGTCTGCATACCTCATTCTTCCTGGATGCAGGACAAGCAGTCAGGCCAAGATGCCACCAGCCACAGAGGTTTCTGGCAAAAAAATCAATACTCCAAATATCCCATAACACCAGGGTATTGGCAGCATTCTTTGGCAGAGACGAGGAATCACTCTGGATAGCTTAATAAAAGAGAAATACTGCCTGTATTAAATAGCTATGGAATCATGGAGAAATGGATTCTAAGTTGTGTTTCCAGGAAGTACTCCCAAAGCTACCCCACATAACTGTGCTACCCAGAAAGCTGTGGCCCTCTCATAGTGAGGACACTGCCTGTTGAAACTAGAAGTAGTGTCACAGTTGCTGGCTCAAAATCACAGACATCAGGAAATTGGATGTCACGTGACCTGCCTGTCACCCTATGTACCTCAGTTGCAAATTCAAGGCTTGCACAAATGTGAAGGATCAGGAGAACCTCAATCACTTCCTGAACCTAGCTTCAAGGGAGGCTGGGAAAAGTCATTTTAACTTTGTAGTGTCTGCAGTAGGGAAAACCTGCTAGAAGAGGGTTGAAATTCAGTATATAATTTATTGTGTTCATCACACCACATATCAGAGGAATCAAGGTTGACAAGTGGGATCCCCACTTTGGAAAGTCTTCTGACTTTCACTTTAGCTCTTCAAAACCCTATGCTAACCTAGTGACACTCTCCTTATCTTCCTATTGTATTTTTCCCTATCAAAAATAAAACCACTGTGAAGCATGTATTTCTCCACCTCTTTTGCATTTGGTTAAAGCGTGTGCCTTTCTGACTTTCTATTCCTTGCTTTGGGAATATTAGAAACTCTTAAAAGGGTGAGTTCTTCATCACAGACGAGCTCCGTTGGAACCCAGCACTGTGTAATATTCATACACATCCTTATACAAATATTATTGGTCTCCCTGAGCTCCTGTATAATGCAGTTGTTCTAGACTGTTGTGGGAAGGTTTAAAAGGCAGCTAGGTAATGCAATAGGAATGAGCAATGTTGAATCCTGCTTAAAGGCCAGAGGAGGGTAGATAGTTCATACTTCTCTGGGCTCGTATCCTTTTCTGTGACCACAGTTAAAAGGTACAGTACCCTTAAATCTATTATTTCCTCTGCCTTTCCTCTACCTTGGGCAGCATTTGTGATGAGGATGTATTTAGATAGGGCTTTGATTTTCAGGATTTTGTGAGTCCTGATATTTTGGCATTGGGCATATGGGAGGTTACATCCAGGTTAGGAAAATTTTGTGAGCATCTAAATCCATAGAGATGTGGGGTTTTTTTTGGTTTTTTTTTTGGTTTTTTTGGTTTTTTTGAGACGAAGCCTTGCTCTGTTGCCAGGCTGTAGTGCAGTGGTGTGATCTCGGCTCACTGCAACCTCCAACTCCCTGGTTAAAGCTATTCTCCTGCCTCAGCCTCCCGAGTAGCTGGGATTGCACCAGCTGCGCCACCACACCCAGCTAGTTTTTGTATTTTTAGTAGAGACAGGGTTTCACCATGTTAGCCAGGATGCTCTCGATCTCCTGACCTCGTGATCCGCCCGCCTTGGCCTCCGAAAGTGCAGGGATTACAGGCGTGAGTGACCGCACCCAGCCTTATATGGTGGCTTTTTAAACTCAAATGAATGTGTTCTGTTTGTTACAATCTGCCAATAAGGAGACAAGTTCAATGGAGGAGGCAACTGAGGATGAACATCTCCGAAATGGGAGTTGAATATTGCATAGGCCGGCTGCTTACTGTATCCTCTGTAATAACTCGCTGAGTAATAAAGGATGCATGGCTGCATAAGGACCACAGGGGACTAACTATTAACGGTTGTGGACATGGCCAGGAAGGACCGAAGGTATGGCATCAGCTGCACCTAAGATTCTGCACCCAAGACTGGTCTTTGCCTTCTTTATTACCTTGGGACCTCAGAGAGGCCTTGAAGTACAAAGGGGAGAGGGCCCCATAGCAAAGAGAAACCATTATTCCTGCCCTGATAGCGGTTATTTCTAGAACTTCTCATGAGCATTCAAATAGCCCTGGTGGAGTGTGGTGGCTCACACCTGTAATCCCAGCACTTTGAGAGGGCAAGGCAGGCAGATCACTTGAGGTCAGGAGTTTGAGACCAGCCTGGCCAACACGGGGAGACCCCTGTCTCTACTAAAAATACAAAACAAAAATTAGCCCGGTGTGGTGGCACGTGCCTGTAATCCCAGTTACTCCGGAGGCTGAGGCAGGGGAGTTGCTTGAAACCGGGAAGCAGAGGTTGCAGTGAGCCAAGATCGCGCCACTGCATTCCAACCTGGATGACAGAGCAAGATTCTGTCTCAAAAAAAAAAAAAATAGCCCTAATGGTTGAGAATATTAGAGCAAATGCCAGCTGCCTAATTGTTCTTGGGGTGGTGATGATGATTATGATCATGATGATATCAGAATCCAACATGCATTGAGTTCTTTGTATATGCCAGACACCATAATGAGCATCTGACATACACCATCTCATTTAATCATCGCATTATATTATTATTATTATTCCATGTTATATAAGAAGATATTGAGGCATACAGCCCATAGATATTGAGGATCACACAAATAGCAAGTTGTTGCTTGAGGAAATCCACGCTCAAATTCGCCCCATAACACTTACTACTTATCAATTTTTCCTCTTTTGTGGAAAACATATGAGATTTGAAAATTATAACTCTTGTCTATGAAAATTACATGAGAAGCTATGTGTACCTTTCCCAGAAAGATAAATTAGTATATTACAACAAATTAAATGATTGTGAAACTCCTGTGAGAAATATTCCACTGTAGCCTTCTCCTTAATAGTGTTAGTAAAGACCTGAGAAGGAGCTACCAGGTCACTGAATTGGTCCCAGGGTAGATTATGGAGTCAAGAAAGGGTATCATTTCTGCCAGTTGTTTCTGCCCCATGGAGAATAATTTTAAAAGGCAGAATCATGCTTTGAAGCGGCACCTGGATATGAAAAAAACCTTTATTCCAGTCTCCTTAAAGTGGAGGATTTGGAATTCCTTGGACACCTGTAGAAGAGGAGATGTTTCTCTGACAGGGGAATAGAATCAATGTGGATAAGTCCTGAGCATTTTTCAGAACTCATTTAGATAGTATATTAGCTGGCTCAGGCTGCCGTAACAAAATACTGCAGACTGGGTGACTTGAGCAACAAATTTATTCATCACAGTTGTGGAGAACGTAAGATCTTGGACACATTCTCCACAATTGTGGAGTTAATTAATTGTTAGTTAAGTAGTAAGTGTTATAAGGGTGAATTTGAGCATGGATTTCCTCAAGCAACGACTTGCGATTTGTGTGATCAGGACTCATACAATCCTGAAAATCGAAGGCCTATCTGTTGACCAAGGTGGGGTTTGTTTCAGGTAAGACGTCTCTCCTCAGCTTGCAGCGACTGCCTTCTCGCTGTATCTTCACATGGCCTTTCCTCTGTGTGCACACAACGCCCAGCTAATTTTTGTATTTTTAGTAGAGACAGGGTTTCACCATGTTGGCCAGGATGGTCTCCATCTCTTGACCTCGTGATCTGCCTGCCTCGGCCTCCCCAGGTGCTGGGATTACAGGCGTGAGCCACCACACCCAACCTGTGAGAGCTTTTTACGCATTTCCTCATGGGGCCCCCAGAGTAAGTGAACCACCACCGCCCATTAGGAGTAACCACCTTCTAACACATATCCTGGGCCAGCTTTTCCTCTTTCTGTTTCATTCTTCCCTGTCCCCAAATAAACTACAAGTCTTCAAGCCCAAATTAAGACATATCTCCCCAAAGAAAACTGCTTTTCTCTTCTTTTTCTTTTACTTTCTTCATTAAAGCACTTACTCCTTTGTTTCAGGGTTAATTATTGATGGAAAAAAGTCTAATTCTATTTCTATACCTATTAGTCACACGTCTTCTGCACTAAACTAATGGGATGAAATTAACTATGATTGAGTAGAAACAGAAGGAATTCAAAATAACTCCTGGAGTGTGGGAAAGGAGAGATTTTGCTCTGGCTTTTAATATGTCTTATTAAAAGGCCTTCTTTCCAAAGTATCCCCAGATACTCATCCAGATCCCCATAGCCCAACTGACGTTTGATCATTGTGTCCTTTCTCGTGGAACTCATCTTTCTCTACCACATTAGAAGTTCTTTGAATGAAATGACCACCTGCATACTTGTAAGTCTTAAGAGTTCCCTGTTTTACTTAACACAGTACTGGGCATAAAGCAAATGCTCAATAAAAATATGTTTATTAACTGGTAAGCTTGCTCCCAAGGGACTGAAATCCTAGCACTGCACCAACTTTCCATAGCAAGTTGCTTTTTGTGATGAAAATACATGGGACTAGATCAGCCAAGGGGAAAACCTGGCACATTCTGATCAGCAAAGGAGAAGTACACACACAAAAACCTCTTTTTAAAATGTTTGATACTTTATATTTGAAAAAAATAACAGAAGCAGTCATCACAGGAAAGGTAAATTCTTTGCTGGACTCCCTACAAGTATTTTATAGTTTGGAACCATTTTTACTTGTTTTACATAATAGAGGGAGCATGGTGATCTTTCCAACACTGGGGCCTCTAAGAACCTCATCCAGTTGAGAAATCATAATAATGTAATTTCTTTGTCTCCTTTCTTGGATACATTGGTGATGCTGAGTGTTTGTAGAACAATCATTTAGAATTCCAAGGTGTTGTATACCTGAAGCAGTAGCAGTAATGGGTCAGCGTTACATGACTGAAGATCTGTTCAGCCTTCCTTTTAGGTGAGGATGACTGTGATAACATAAAGGGGCTTTAGGTTTCAGCTTTTTGAGAACTAAACTTTTGGAATAGATCTCTAATATAGATCCTAAAATGTGTCCATTTTTATTTATTTATTTATTATTATTATTATTATTATTTTTAGAGACAGGCAGAGTCTTGGTATGTTGAGGCAGAGTGGTATCTCACTCTGTCTCTAGGCTGGACTTGAACTCCTGGGCTCAAGGGATCCTCCAACCTCAGTCTCCTGAGGAGCTGTGACTACTGGCACATGCCACAGCCCCTGGCTCAAATTTTGTACTTAGTAAAAAGTATTTGGCATCACAAAAACAGGGCTTAGATGCTAGCATAGAAATAACATTGGTAGTTGAGATGATTTCCTATCATTTCAAGAGGCTGTCACCCAAAAGTTGCAAAGTGTCCCTGCCTGGGTCCTTCCAATCAGGGGAGAAACACTACTAATTCACACAGAACGTTGTCAACAAGATGCTCTGCTTCCCAGGCCTATTTGCATTCTTATAGGGTCAACGGTGCTTGATTCAAATAAATGACTACCTGAGGGTAAAATTTCAGATGATGAACCATTTAGAATTTTCTACTTTCTCTTAAAGATTATCCACTAAGTTTCCTCCAGCTCTTAACTTTCTGTAATACAATTGCAAATTCAAATGATGAAAGTTTGCATGTTTAAACTTAGAAATTGTCAGAAGAGAAATTTTGGTTTTATTCAAATTTGCTTTTTAAACATTTACAAAAGAGAAGCAGGGAATTGTCATCACCAGTTCGAAAGCGAAATGCCTTCTGATTTTTTATTGTTTTCAAGAACAAAAGACTTTTTTGTTGGAAACATCAGAGTTGATTTTTATGTTTGCATACATTAGAGAGATAATGACAGGTTTCTTGCAAAAACCACCATTACGTCTCATACCAGCCTCTCTGATGTTTCATAATTTTCTAAACATATTTCAGAGTTATTGGCAAGCACAAAACTTTGCAATTTAGGTGGATATCAGAACAACTTGACAATTTTCCTCATGTTTTAAAGTGAAAGTCATAGAAACACAACAGAGGAAATCTGCCACTTGTAATGGAGCAAAATCTTTACTTGAGTCTTTGAGAGATTGTCTCAACCAGATCACTTAGATCCTTTAGTCCCTAAGTTATAAACATGCTTATCCTTTAGCTTAGTTTATTAGCATAGATGAAAAAGCACTTTCAGAAATTTGCCTTATTAATTCTTCTAAATTAAAGCTGACTCCCTTCTTTAAAAAGCTGCACTTTTCTAACTTCAGGTGTTTCCTTCTCAGAGAGAAGATGTATATGATTCTATTTCCCCACCTATGAGGCCAGCCTGTGTGCCTCGTCTCCTGAACAATCATTACCCGACTTGGGCCTGCTCACCAGATTGTTGGATGTTGAAAGGACCTGGTCTGGGGCCAGGACACTTTAGGAATCTCTGCTGTGCTCATGCCAAACTCTTGGCAGGAAACCAGGCTGGGCGCTCCAGGACCCAGTGCTAGAGGCCAAAAGACCGGTCTCTTCTATGATGCCTGGCTCCTCACCAGGCAAAGTTGCGGGGGCTGGGGGGTGGGGGTCTCTTCCATTGCTGAGATTCTGCCCCCACTCTCTTGTGTTGGTTGAGAGAGCTGTATCCAGTGACCGCCTACGTGGCTACCATTTCTAAAACATTGTTTATTTCATCATTTAAGATTTCTATTTGGGGGCGTTTTATCACATACATAGCACATTTAATCACAGTTCATGTGCATAAATATATAAAGTTTAAAAATATATAAAGGATATTCATGTATAAAAATATTTTCTGATGAGAGTTCCCAATCAAAAAAGTTTGGATACCACTGTTCTATGAGCAAAAGTTCTGGAAAAGGTTTCTATGTCCTTTTCCCAGAAGCAATTAAAAAGCTTATTTCTGAGACACAAGAACCAACTTGAAACAGCTCCAAGTGGCCAAAGACAGCATAATTTGAGCATTAATACAATGGATTGAAACATATTAAATAAATTTAAAATTGATACATTCATAATAATATTTTTAAAATAAACACATTGGTCATCTTTAAAGGATGTTAATAAACCAATTAATTATTCTGAAAAGAATCAAGCATGAAACCTGACTTTCTAGTGTGAGCTGTACCCTAGGATACCAAATACTTAATGAGGGAAATTTCACTCCCTCTCCCTCACTCCCTCTCCACACACATACATACTCAAAGAATAATAGAATATCATCATCTGGCAAATCTCAAATTAAATAAGATACAGGCTATGACTTTCAGTAGCCACTAACATCACAAGAAGAGAAATAACTGAAGATGACGTGCCTCCTGATGGAAGATCCAACACCACCTATGAGACTGTTCTGCCAAAAACTCAAACCTGAATCAGACCAAGCATCTAAATCTCATAACCAAGTTTTAGGAAATACAGAGGCCTGTGGAACACCATGGAGTACAATAAGCCAAACCAGACTGTGGCAGGCTCAACTGGAAAGATAATCTGTTTATTAAGCAAATGTATTTCAAGACAAAAGAAGCAGGAAAAAAACCTATAGCTTAAAAGAAACTCAAGACATGTAAGCCAAATGCAGCTTGTGGACCTTTTTTGGATTCTCATTCAAACAAACCAAATTTTTAAAAAATTATAAGACAGTCAGGGAAATCTGAACACTGGATAACAGGTAATTATTATTACTATTATTATTTGAGACCAAGTCTCACTCTGTCCCCCAGGCTGAAGTGCAGTGGTGCAGTCTCGGCTCACTGCAACCTCCGCCTCCCGGGTTCAAGCAACTCTCATGCCTCAGCCTCCCAAGTGGCTGGGATTACAGGCGTATGCCACCACGCCCGGCTAATTTTTGTATTTTTAGTAGAGTATGGGGTTTCACCACGTAGGCCAGGCTAGGTCTCAAACTCCTGACCTCAGGTGATCCACCTACCTCGCCTCCCAAAGCGCTGGGATTACAGATAACAGATAATATTAAACATTGTTAAAGTTTTAGGTCATAATTTTATGGTAATTTTTTGATGTCTTTCTCTTTTAGAAACACTTACTAGAATATTTATGGATGAAAGAATACCATTGCTGTCACTGGCTTCTATATACTCCAGTGTGGGGAAGGTGAAAGGTGTACCTTTTGTAGTCTTAGAAGGTATAGGTGAAACAAGAGTGGGCACAATTTTCTGATTGTTGTAGCTACATAATTTGTACATTCAGGGTTATTGTTCCATTCTGTCTCCTTTGGTATATGTCTGGAATTATTCATAATAAGAGATTTTTCTAAAGGCTTATTATGCCCAACAGCCATCCTCCTTTGTATTCCTAAGGCACACACTAGAGAAAATGTTTCTCAGAATCAAGAATTCCAAATGCTGTAGTGGAATCCAGTAACAAAATTAGTTTGAAGGGACCCATGAATTGCTGCTGCAATCTCGCCTCTGAGAAAAAGCCAAGAAAAAGGGAAAGGCGGCCGTAATGACCTTCATGATTGACTTATGCAGGATTTCCACTGCTGAAAGGGAAATCCTATAGCATTTAGTGCTCTCAATTAAATATTTCATACAGGAGCCATAAGGTGTTGTTGAAAGAAATGAAACCTTGTTGTGTGCCCTGTTTCCTAATATCTGCTAAGGCACATCCTCCTCTGGACCCCACCTTACATCTAGAGGACGGGCCAAGGCAGCAATGCTGGGGATCAGGTTCAATGACTCTTTTCAGTGAAATATATATACAAAAGGAGGTGGCTGAGTTTTTGTTGTTGTTGTTGTTGTTGTTGTTTTTAGGGGTTTTGTTTGTTCGTTTTTTTGAGACGGAGTCTCACTCTGTCGCCCAGGCTGGAGTGCCGTGGCGTGACCTCGGCTCACTGCAACCTCCACCTCCCAGGTTCAAGCAATTCTCCTGCCTCAGCCTCCCGGGTAGCTGAGATTACAGGCATGTGCCACCATGCCCAGCTAATTATTTTTATTTTTAGTAGAGACAGGGTTTCACCATGTTGGCCCGGCTGGTCTCAAACTCCTGACCTCAAGTGATCCACCCACCTCGGCCTCCCAAAGTGCTGGGATTACAGGCGTGAGCCACCGTGCCCAGCTGTGACTGAGTTTTTAAACAAAATTTTATCTTTCTTTATTTTTATTGTATTTATTTTTTTTTTTGAGACAGAGTTTCGCTCTTGTTGCCCAGGCTGGAGTGCATTGGCGCGATCTTGGCTCACTGCAACCTCCGCCTCCCAGGTCCAAGTGATTCTCCCGCCTCAGTCTCCCGAGTAGCTGGGATTACAGGTGCCCACCACCTCGCCTAGCTAAATTTTTTTTGTATTTTTAGTAGAGATGGGATTTCACTATATTGGCCAGGCTGGTCTTGAACTCCTGACCTCAGGAGATCCACCTGCCTTGGCCTCCCAAAGTGCTGGGATTACATGCGTGAGCCACTGCGCCCGGCCCTTGTCCTGTTTTTTTAATCTTAAAAGTTGCTGGGCACATAGTAGTTGTCTTTAAGTGTCCACTGAATGAATATTTGTGCATATAGTATTTCATAGGGTTGGGTGGGGAGGACATCCCAGCTGTTCATCAGAACACAGCCTAGAGAGTGAACACAATTTATTTATTTATTTTTTATTTATTTATTTATTTGTTTATTTTTGAGACAGAGTCTTGTTTTGTTGCCAGGCTGGAGTCCAATGGCGTGATCTCAGCTCACTGCAACCTCCGCCTCCTTGGTTCAAGCGATTCTCCTGCCTCAGCCTCCTGAGTAGCTGGGATTGCAGGCTCACACCACCATGCCCAGCTAATTTTTTGTATTTTTAGTAGAGACAGGATTTCACCATGTTGGCCAAGATGGTCTTGATCTCCTGACCTCATGATCCGCCTGCCTCGGCCTCCCAAAATGCTAGGATTACAGGAGTGAGCCACTGCGCCTGGCCCACAATTTAAGGGGCATAATCTCATTGTGATCATGACGGCCACCATCGCTTTTGTCCTCTGACATTGCAACTAAAACATTCTAATACCTCGAGCTCTGAGGGCTTTTCCAGGTGTATTCATTTTCTGGGGCTGCCATAACCACAAATAGAATGGCTTAAACAACAGAGGTCTGTTGTCTCACATTCTGGGGCTAGAAGTGTGAGATCGAGGTTGTGTTGGGGTTGGTTCCTTCTGAGAGCTGTTGGGGAAATGTCGTTGTTGCTGGCCATCTTTCATGTTCCACGTACTCCATCTCCAAATAAGGCCATATTCTGAGGTGTTGGGTCTTAGGACTTCCCCATATGAATGAGGAAAGGAGGTACAACTCAACCCCTAACACTGGGTGGCCCTTCCTTCCCAAGGCCTCTCTATCCTCAGGGACAATTGCATTCGTTTGAACCCCCTGTCTTCCCAGGAAGGCACTGGGCTACAAGGCCCCAAGCTCCCTTTCTTTGCCTGTTGGCACCAACATCACCCTCCCACTCTTGCTCCTGAAGCTTTCTCAACACTGCTGTGGTTAATGTTGGCTTTTTGGCTCTTGGTGGCCTGGTTTGTGGCTGCTACTTTCCTGTCATTATAGTAGTGTTCTCAGCTCTCTCTTCTTTTCACTGCAATAGTCCTTAAACCCAAAGAAGAGGTTTTCCCTTGCCAGCGAACATCAGTGGCCTAGCCTTATACTGGCAATTATATTCCTTGGGCCCCTTTCAAAAGATAGGCTGCTCTTTTGAGGAAGTTGGGATATGGGATCTAGAAAAATATGGGCAGAGAATAGAGTATTTCTTCCGTCTTGCCCTGGAGCTCTTCTCCCAGGATGAGACTAATTTTCCTTTTGGTTTTCAAGACATGTTATGTCTCTGCTTCAAGGTACCCCAGTCACCCTAAATTGGGGGTAGCCTTCATCACATTTTTGTCTGAAATTCTTCTTCTTCTTTTTTTTTTTTTTTTTTTTTTTTTAGATGGCATCTTGTTCTTGTCGCCCAGCCTGGCACGATCTCAGCTCACTGCAACCTCCGCCTCCTGGGTTCAAGAGACTCTCCTACCTCAGCCTCCCAAATAGCTGGGATTACAGGCATGCACCACCATACCTGGCTAATTTTTGTATTTTTAGTAGAGAAGGGGTTTCACCATTTTGGCCAGGCTGGAGTACAGTGGTGCAATCTCAGCTCACTGCAAGCTCTGCCTTCTGGGTTCACACCATTCTCCTGCCTCAGCCTCCCGAGTAGCTGGGATTATAGGCGCCTGCCACCACACTGGCTAATTTTTTGTATTTTTAGTAGAGATGGGGTTTCACCGTGTTAGCCAGGATGGTCTCGAACTCCTGACCTCAGGTAATCCACCTGCCTCGGCCTCCCAAAGTGCTGGGATTACAGGTGTGAGCGACCTTGCCCAGCCAAAATTCTTCATCTTGTTGCTCCAAGAGTTTGTAATTTCCCCAAATTTACTACCCCATTTTTCCAAGAATCTGAGGGGCTCACTGATGTGCAAAACAGGTGTCCACGAGCCCCAACTATATGAAAAACATCTTCACATAACCATCATCCCTGCTGTTTGGAGTCTGGCCTAGAGAAGCATATAAAGAAAAAGCCTTACCCTTTCAGATATGTAAATTAGACTTCCAGCCACAACGGCTGCGTCCTTAATCACAGTGTTTCCGGTATTAGAGCTAGAATGATGACAGTGGCAGGATGACAATTCCTTAGCTAAAGAGTGTCAAGCATTCCAGCCTGGCCAACATGGTGAATCCCCATCTCTACTAAACATACAGAAATTAGCCGGGCGTGATGGTGTCCCTCTGTAATCCCAGCTACTTGGGAGGCTGAGACAATAGAATCGCTTGTACCCAGGAGGCAGAGGTTGCAGTGAGCTGAGATCACGCCACAGCATTCCAGCCTGGGTGACAGAGTGAGACTCCGTCTAAAAAAAAAAATAGTGTCAGCTGGGTGCAGTGGCTCATGCCTGTAATCCCAGCACTTTGGGAGGCCGAGGCGGGCAGATCACGAGGTCAGGAGATCGAGAGCATCCTGGCTAACATGGTGAAACCCCGTCTCTACTAAAAATACAAAAAATTAGCCGGGCGTGGTGGCGAGCGCCTGTAGTCCCAGCTACTCAGGAGGCTGAGGCAGGAGAATGGCGTGAACCCAGAAGGCGGAGCTTGCAGTGAGCCCAGATCATACCACTGCATTCCAGCCTGGGTGACAGAGTGAGACTCCGTCTAAAAAAAAATAGTATCAGGCATCGTTAGCATGAAACTTGAAGAGACTTAAGCTCATCTTGTGCTTGCTAAGGGTAGGCAGCTATATTCCAGTCAGCAGACAACAGTAACAATTGCATGCTGAGATCTCAATTGGAAGAAAGGAGACAGGACCAGGGGTAGGAGAACCAAGCAAAGCCTAGAAATTCCAGTGGCACAGACCAGGGGTATGGGGGGTAGGAGTGAGGGTGGGAGGGAGGGATTGATGCTCCTATCCACTAAACGCCAAGCTAAGGCAGTGTGTGAGTGGTGAGAAGCTTGTGAAGCCAGACAGACTTGGGTTCAAATCCCAGTTCTGTCTCTCACTAGCTCTGCAAGCCTGCATGTATCTTTTCCTCAGCGTCCTCATCTATCAGAAAAATGAAAGTAATAACAGTACCTGCCTCACAGGTCTGTTGTGATGGACACATGAGGTAATGTGTAAGGACAAGGCATAGGGCTTAATACAGAGGCGGCACCCAATTAGCTATTGTTATTACTATTGTTAGTAAGGAGCCCAAGGTGCTCGCCTCCTATGGCTCTATTCTGCTGAAGGAACAAAGATAATTCATTTGGCTGTAGCCATGGGCATTTATAGGCAAAGAATTTTCTCTTTTCAAACTCAAAGTAGCACATGCAGATGTGTTTTGGCACTCTAAAATGGAGGTGCATTTTCCAATTACAGTTGACCTTGAACAACATGGGGGTCAGGGGTGCCAACTCCCAGCACAGTCAAAAATCCATGTATAACTTTGTACTCCCCCAAAAACTTAACTACTAATAGCCTAATGTTGACTGAAAGCCTTACCAGAAACATAAACAGTTGATTAACACATATTGTGTACGTTATATGTATTGTATACTGTATCTTTTTTTGTGTGTGTGTGAGATGGAGTCTCGCTTTTGTCGCCCACGCTGGAGTGCAGTGGTGCGATCTCGGCTCACTGCAACCTCCGCCTCCCAGGTCCAAGTGATTCTCCCGCCTCAGCCTCCCGAGTAGCTGGGATTACAGGCATGCGCCTCCACGCCCACCTAATTTTTGTATTTTTAGTAGAGACGGGGTTTTGCCATGTTGGCCAGAGGCTGGTCTTGAACACCTGACCTCAGGTGATCCACCCTCCTTGGCCTCCCAAAGTGCTGGGATTATAGGCATGAGCCACCGTGCCCAGCCTGTATACTGCATCTCACAATAAAGTAAGCTAGAGAAGAGAAAATGTTATTAAGAAAATCATAAGGAAGAGAAAATATATTTACTATTCATTACAGGAAAATGGATCATCATGAAGGTTTTCTTCCTCCTCATCTTCACATTGAGAATAGGCTAAGGAGGAGGGATTGGTCTTGCTGTCTCATGGGTGGCATATAAGTGTACCCACACAGTTCAAACCTGTGTTGTTCCAATGGTCACTATATCACATTTCATTATCACCCTCTCTTCACATCCAATATAATATGGTTAGCTTATCAATTTCACAAAAATAAAACATCATCCACAAAATGAGAATGGTGTCTCAGATGATATGGCGAGAAGGAATCAAGTCAGAGGAGTTTCTCTGATTGAGGGCCTTGAGACGGGCAGTCTTTTCCTCGTGGCTAGAAAGGGTGAAACTCTAGCTACAGCTTCCTGGTAGAAGGGCTGTTACCATGGTTTCTGAAGCAGGCGTGGAGTCAGAAATACCATTTTTTTGCATTTATATATGGAAAAGATAAGACCTCACTTTTGTTTTTCTTAGCATATCTTTAGAAAGGCAACAGCAGGAGAATAGAAAGTAGGAAAAGCTAGTGATAAGGGTTACTGAATTGGCCAGGCGCAGTGGCTCACGCCTGTAATCTCAGCACTTTGGGAGGCGGAGGCAGGCGGATTGCCTGAGATCAGGAGTTTGAGACCAGCCTGGCCAACAAAGTGAAACCCCATCTCTAGTAAAAAGAAAATACAAAAATTAGTTGAGTGTGGTGGCGGGCGCCAGTAATCCTAGCTACTCAGGAGGCTGAGGTAAGAGAATCGCTTGAACCCGGGAGGTGGAGGTTGCAGTAAGCTGAGACCGCACCACTGCACTCCAGCCTTGGTGACAGAGCAAGACTCTGTCTCTAAATAAATAAATAAATAAATAAAAGAATTACTCAATTAACCCCAGGATCAGAAGAGAAAAGTTACTTCTTTTTCTGTTATACCTATAAGAATTCATAATTCATCCCAAAAAATCAATTGACATATTGTATTTTTTATTGACTTATCTCGTTTTTGTTTTTTTTCTTTTTTTGAGACTGAGTCTCACTGTGTCACCCAGGATGGAGTGCAGTGGTGCAATCTCGGCTCACTGCAACCTCTGCCTCCTGGGTTCAAGTGATTCTCCTGCCTCTGCCTCCTGAGTAGCTGGGATTACAGGCACATGCCACCACGCCCAGCTAATTTTTGTATTTTTACTAGAGACCAGTTTCACCATGTTGCCCAGACTGGTCTGGAACTCCTGACCTCAGGTGATCCGCCCGCCTCGGCCTCCCAAAGTGCTGGGCTTACAGGCATGAGCCACCATGCCTGACCTGATTTCCCTTCTTGACTGGTTTTGGTTCATGTGGCTGGTGCCTGGTTGCCCGTCTCCCCAGGGCTCTCCCTACATAGGCGAACTGAAGGAAATCACACTTCTTGTCTTTCTCTCTGAAGCATGTTGAACCAGCTGGAACCTGTCTTTCTCTCTGAAGCATGTTTCTTTCTCCAATCAAGAGAGCCTGAGTTTCTAGCCATAGTGTGTAGCATGAAGCACATAACTTTGATCAGGGTTTATTTCTGTTACATCGAGGGAGATTTTGTTCTGTTAAAAGTTGAG
Source organism: Homo sapiens (assembly GCF_000001405.40). Lineage (NCBI taxonomy): Eukaryota > Metazoa > Chordata > Mammalia > Primates > Hominidae > Homo > Homo sapiens. The sequence continues at coordinate 169,895,476 of NC_000003.12, forward strand.
GACATATTATTATTATTTGTTTTTGTGAATCTCTTTTGCATTTTTGATCAGAGACCTAAGAAGGGGACACTACAAAGAAATGAAAACACAGTTTTTGTGCAAAATGGTGACTCCTGTGTGTGTCTGTGTGTGCTGGGGTGGGGATGGGACTGGTGGTGTGCTTGCTGAATGTAAGTGCCAGGCTGCTTCCCTCAACACTTCCCAGATATATTTTCAAGCATTTCATCTCTCATTGTGTCCTAAACCTTAACCGAAACCCACAAAGTATTAGAATCTCCCTTCAGGAGATGAGTTTTAAAACCTCCATTCTGAATATAATTCTGACACGCGTGGAAAGGACAGGAAGCATGAAAGTTTAGCCTGAACTCTAGTTCCTAGGACTGAACCCACGCCAAAGGCATTATTTCTTTTGTTATTATTATCCTTTCCAGATAACATCCTTATGAGTATCTTTAAAATTACATTGTAAGCCAGAGGTAAGGCAAGCTCTCTCTTTCTTTGCCCAATATTTTTATTGCACTTTGCAGTCACTATTTCAGCATCCGTCTCATCACTCATGGTGCCATTTCACTTCAGCATGCCTGGTACTGCAGGTGGCACTTGGAGATTCAAGAGATCACAGACTCAGCCGGGTGCGGTGACTCACGCCTGTAATCCCAGCACTTTGGGAGGCTGAGGTGGGTGGATCACAAGGTCAGGAGTTCGAGACCAGCCTGGCCAATATGGTGAAACCCCATCTCTACTATAAATACAAAAATTAGCCAGACGTGGTGGCGCGTGCCTGTAGTCCCAGCTACTCAGGAGGCTGAAGCAGGAGAATCACTTGAACCCGGGAGGCGGAGGTTGCAGTGAGCCGAGATCACGCCACTGTACTCTAGCAGGGGCAACAGAGTGAGACGCTGTCTAAAAAAAAAAAAAAAAGAAAAGAGATCACAGACTCTGCCCGGGGTCACCAACACTCTCAAGGAGGGCATGAAGGTAAGAAAAAAAAAAAAAAAAAAAAAACACTGCATTGAAACAAGGGTTGTAGCAGAGGTAAGCATACTCTGATGACTTCAGGTCAGGCTTGATCCTACTGCAGTGGTTCTTACCCAAGGGGGACCCAGGGCCCTATTCTAATAACAAACGTTTGGCAGCATCTCCTTAACATCCTGAAGAAGAATTTATAGAAAATATAACTTGTCTGCACACCTCCAAAAAATCAGAGGACATTTAGGGTAGCCAAAATGCCCAGTATGATACTATAATGGTGGATACATGTCATTATACATTTGTCTAAATCCACAGGATGTACAAGATCAAGAGTTAAACCTAATGCAAACTATGGACTTTGGGTGATTACACTGTGACAATTTAGGTTCATCAGTTGTGACAAACGTACTACTCTTGTGTGTGGTGAGGGGGGCGGTGTTGATAATGAGGGGGGCTATGTATGTAGGGGACCTGGGGCATATGGGAAGGAAATCTCTGTACCCTTCTTTCATTGTTGTTTTGGATCTAAAACTACTTTTTAAAAAAGTCTTTCAAAGATCAATATAGGCCGGGCGCAGTGGCTCAAGCCTGTAATTCCAGCACTTTGGGAGGGTGAGGCAGGTGGATTACTGGAGGTCAGGAGTTCGAGACCAGCCTGGCCAACCTGGTGAAAACCCATCTCTACTAAAAATACAAAAATTAGCTGGGCATGGTGGCACACGCTTGTAATCCCAGGTACTCAGGAGGCTGAGGCAGGAGAACCCCTTGAACCCAGGAAGGAGAGGAAGCAGTGAGCCAAGATCACACCACTGCACTCCAGCTTGGGTGACAGAGCAGAAAAAAAAAATACATCAATATAATGCCCTGACTGTAATATGAAGGAGAAAACTAATGAAAGTAATCTAAAAAAAGTCATGCATTTTAATATGCAAATATTCCAGCACAACTACACAGAAAGACAGAAAAGCCAGCCACTTGTGCCTGCTTATATTTAATATGTTTGATTTAATTTATATATATTACTTTACTATTTTATTACATTTCAATATATTTAAATTATATTTAATATGACAAAATATTTTAATTTATATTCAGTGGAACATATATATATATATATATATATATTTTTTTTTTTTTTTGAGACAGTCTTGGTCTGTCACCCAGGCTAGAATGCAATGGCATACACATGGCTCACTGCGGCCTCCACCTCCTGGGCTCAGGTGATTGTCCTGCCTCAGCCTCCTGAGTAGCTAGGACTAAGGTGTGCACCACTATACCTGGCTAATTTTTAAATTTTTTGTAGAGACTGGGGTCTCACCATGTTGCCCAGGCTGGTCTTTAATTTCTGGGCTCAAGGACTCCTTCAGCTTCAGCCTCCCAAAGTGCTGAGATTAGAGGCATGAACCACCATGCCTGGCCAATGCAATATTTTTGACTTTTAAAATATTTAACATTTTGAAATCAGAATTAAGTTATTATATATTTCACAGTAGTATATTGTGAGGTTTTAGATAGAGAGAGCCATAGAATGTCTAGGAACATAGAATGATGTGATGTGTCTATGTGGTGACTCAAATAGCATAAATGGCATTGCTCTTCCTGATGTGATGTTTTTGCAATGAACAACTCTTAGTAAAGTTTGGAACAATCGGCCGGGCGCGGTGGCTCACGCCTGTAATCCCAGCACTCTGGGAGGCCGAGGTGGGCGGATCACGAGGTCAGGAGATCAAGACCATCCTGGCTAACACGGTGAAACCCCGTCTCCACTGAAAATACAAAAAATTAGCCGGGCGTGGTGGCGGGCACCTGTAGTCCCAGCTACTCAGAAGGCTGAGGCAGGAGAATGGCGTGAACCCCGGGGGGCGGAGCTTGCAGTGAGCCGAGATCTCGCCACTGCACTCCAGCCTGGGCGACAGAGTGAGACTCCGTCTCAAAAAAAAAAAAAAGTTTGGAAAGGAAAAAATCAATTTCCCCTGAACTTATATCAGAATTGAATACCTGATAATTCAATGTATACTAAAATCACACAAGAGAAAGCTCTGTGTTTCATGTAAAGTGGAGTTCAATTCTAAGCTCTGCTAATTCTAATTTATCTCCATGAATTCCCAGAAAATCATCTTAAAATTTTGTGTGAGGCAATACAGTTCTTCGTTGAGCAGGGCAGTCCACATACTACAAGACATACTTTATCCCTGGAACCACCCATCAAATCCCATAACATTCCCCAAACAACCAACCAACCAGAAACCCTCCGTAGGTTTCTTTCTTTTTTTTCTTTTTCTTTTTTTTTTTTTTTTTGAGATGGAGTTTTACTCTGTCGCCCAGGCTGGAGTGCAGTGGCACGATCTCGGCTCACCACAACCTCTGTCTCCCGGGTTCAAGTAATTCTCCTGCCTCAGCCTCCTGAGTAGCTGGGACTACAGGCTCCCGCCACCATGCCCAGCTAATTTTTTGTATTTTTAGTAGAAACGGGGTTTCACCATGTTGGCCGGGATGGTCTCAATCTCCTGACCTCGTGATCCGCCCGCTTCTATCTCCCAACCCCCATAGGTTTCTAAAATACCCAAGGAGGCACCTCATCCCTAGTGAAAATCCCTGGTCTGAGATCTCTTCTAGTTCCGAAATTATGTGGTTCTTTTTATATGCTATATCCCCAAACTTAATCTAATTAATTATTTGTAATACCTATTAAGTGCCTTACCATTGAAGGAGGCAAAAATAACCTTGTGTCTTGTTCCTTTGCAAAGATTTTTACAGGCTTATCCCTAATGCCCAGCACAGCCCAACACGTAGGGTCTCAATAAGTACTTTTGGATGTATGCATATATATGGGGAGGATATTCCAGCAGTATAAGACATGAACATTTTCCTTACATTCTACATTGCCACATTTCCAATACATTCTAATTGGGAAATTAAGAATAACATGTGACAACAGTAAAAGATCAGTACAAAATAATATTTCATTAAGGGGTGCATCTTGTCGATTAAAGCTGTAAGTATAATAAAGTGATAAGAGAAATTACTGAGAAACTCAGAGAAGCTTTCATAATCAGTAGAATTGGAGCTAAGGCATGAAGGAAGGGTGGAACTTGGGTGAGAAAGAGGGAAAGCTTTCCAGAGGAACTGAGAGGAAGCAGGGCCCAGAGTCAAGAATGTGCAAGGTCTGTGTGCAGAAAGGGCAACAAAGTTCACACTAACGAGGAGTGGAAACGTTAGGATGAGGTATTCAGGGGCCAGATTTAGAAGGGACTGGAATACCAATTAGTTGAAACTTGTTATTTGAAAAGTTTTAATAAAGGCCAAGCTATGCACTGTCTTAGAAACCCAAGCAAACTGCTTACCTTGGGGGGTAAAATGAGTGTGGATGACTGAGGACCATACCATTGGAAGTGGTAGAATAGAATAGTGGTTACACACTTAAATTTCAAGTCAAATAGGCCTGGGTTCAAATTCTGGCTCTGCCTCTACTAGGATCCTGACCTCTTGAGCTTCAGTTTCCATTTCTAGAATGAAGCAAATAATAGTGGCTACCTCAGAGGATTATTATAAAGATAACATAATATGGTGCATGTGAGATGTTTGGTGTGTCGTAACAATTTGATTACTGATTAAGTGTTGGTGACAAGGAATGTTAGCTGTATATATATCTCCAGACTCGCTGGGAGGCTGCTGAGGGTGTGGGGAAGGGTGGGGAGAGGATCCTAGGAGTAATGCCCTCTATCCTTCCTTTTATTATTTGGGATTCATAGAAAAGCTATTTTCAGGGGGTGATGATTAAGGAAAGTTCTTTGTGAAGACATGATTTTCTGTCTCACTTATTGAACTTAGTGTTTGTTCATAATTTGTTACTTATTTTGTTGCTTTCAAAGAAAGGAAAATATTTGCGACAATGACTTCCTATATGTCTCAAAGGGTGTGGCACAACTACTGCATACAATGAAAACTCATGATTTTTCTTTCCTTGCAGTGCAGGTGAGAAAAGACTTCTACAGAGAGGGTGAGCTCCTTAATTTATTTTATCCAATCTTTAGCGATATTATTTGGGTCAGCATTTCTAAAGTTGCATGAATATAAGAATTAGCTAGAATACTTGTTAAAAATATAGATCCCCAGACCCCTTCTCTGGAGAGTCTAGTTCAGTTAATTTGGGCTTCTTGCTAAGGCAATTGTAAAATGCAGTGATAATAGCTGATGATTACTGAGTGTCTACCATGCATCCGTCACAGTTCGAAGTTCTTTTTATGTATAAACTGAGATCCTTGCCATAATTTTAAGAGGCAGGTACTAATACCATCTCCATATTAGAGATGAGTAGCTAAGCAGAAAGAGGCTAAGATTGCAGAGCTAGTAAGTGAAAGAACCAGGATGTGAGCCATCTAGCCTGGCTCCAGAGCCCATGCTTTTAACCATTACCCTTCCCAGCTCCACCTTATATACAGATGCCTATGCTGTAGTTTGAATGCTTTCTTCACATCACCAGAGCAAGTAAGGGTGATGTTCTGTTTTGCACATTTGGTACCACATTTAAGATAGAAATGCTTTTTTAAGGGAAGTATGTAAAAATATATAGGAGAGAAAAAAAGTTGTTTTTTGTTTTTGTTTTTGTTTTCAAGATGGAGTTTTGCTCCTGTTGCCCACGCTGGAGTGCAGTGGCACGACCTTGGCTCACTGCAACTTCTGCCTCCTGGGTTCAAGCAATTCTCCTGCCTCAGCCTCTGGAGTAGCTGCGATTACAGGCATGCGCCACCACACTCAGCTAATTTTGTATTTTTAGTAGAGACAGGGTTTCTCCATGTTGGTCAGGCTGGTCTTGAAATCCCGACCTCAGGTGATCCGCCCACCTCAGCATCCCAAAGTGCTAGGATTATAGGCGTGAGCCACCACGCCCAGCCAAAAAGGTTTTTAAAAAAGAAGAAGACATTAGCTAGCTGTGAGATAACTTCAACTGAGCTAAATATGTGTAATTGAAGTCCCTAAAGGAAAAAGGAGGAATACAAATTACTTGATAGAGGAATGGCCAAATTTTTTTGAAGATTGAGGACAACCATAAACCTACAGAACCAAGAAGTTCAATGAGCCCCAGATACAAAAAGCACACACAAAAAAACTAAATAGTGCATATTATAATCAAATTGCCTAACGCCAGTGATAAATTTAAAAAATCTTAAAAGCAACTAGAGGAATAAAAAGACACATTATCTACAGTGAACCAAAGATAAGAATGACAGCAGACTTCTTGCTAGAAACAATGAAGCAAGAAACAGTGGAATTATACCTTTATTTTGTTTTTTGTTTTTTAATTTTTGAGACAGGATCTCACTCCATTGCCCAGGTTGGAGTGCAATGGTGCAATCATGGTTCACTGACACCTTGACATTTTGGACTCAAGTGATCCTCCCAGCTCAGCCTCCCAAGTAGCTAAGACAACAGACACACACCACCACATTCAGCTAATTTTAAATTTTATTTTATTTTTTTAAGATATAGGGTTTTGCTATGTTGCCTAGGCTGGTCTTGAGCTCTTGAGATCAAGTGATCCTCCTGCCTCAGCCTTCCAAAATGCTGGCATAACAGGCATAAGCCCAGCCAAACAATACCTTTAAAGTACTGGGAAAAAATCCTGTCAATTTAGGCTTCTACACCAAGTGAAAATATCTTTCTAATATAAAGGAAAAACGGATATTTTTTTCAGACAGATAAAAACTGAAAGAATTCCCCACAAGCAGGCCTGCATTACATGAAATATTAAAGAAATTCCTTCAACCAAAAGAAAATGATACCACATAGAAATCTGGATCTACTCAAAGGAATGAAGGGCATTGAAAATGTTTTCATGGTTAGAGATGACAGTGCGTATCTCCTTGATCTTAATGGAGCTCCTCAAGCATTGAACCATTTTCTACATGGACACAGCAATAAATTTAGCACTGATGTCTGATGCGGGATATTTTGCAGCTAACTCAAATTCTATTTTGCCAACTTTAGTACTGTTGATCCTAAGTCATCCCTCAAAGGTATAAGCAACCAGCTTAGAAAAAGGTTCAATGATTGATGCTTTCAAGTAGCTTTCAGTTTCTTGAAGATAAACTTGGACTCATTCTGGTCTTGGCAAAGACCAAACTTTTTTTCTTTTTCTTTTTTGGTGAGACAGGGTCTTGTTCTGTTTCCCAGGCTGGAATGCAGTGGTGCCATCATGGCTCACTGCAGCCTTGACCCCCAGGCCTAGGCAATCTTCCACCCCAGCCTCCTGAGTAGCTGAGACCACAGGCATGTGCCACCATGCCAAGTTATTTTTTTTTTATACAAGGACTCACTCTTTTGCCCAGGCTTCAATCCTGCCTATAGAATGGGAAAAAATATTTGCAAATCATATATCTGATAAGTGGTTAATATCCAGAATATACAAAGAACTTCTGCAATTCAACAACAACAAAAAAGCAAGCAACTTGATTTTATTTTGTATTTTTGACCCCTGAACTTTTTATTGGCCTCCTGCTCCCAAAAGGTACCTTGCTTCTGCTGGCTTAATGTCTCAGAACTCTCGTCTCATTGATCTCAGACACCACTTTGCTGTCCACTATCTTGCGGGTGGTGGTCTTTTGGATGGTTTGCATGGAGTTGCTGTTGTCCAGGGCATCACCAAGATTGAAGTCCTCCCCGTCATCCAGCAGGCCATGGTAGGTGGCGATCTCAGCCTCCAGCTTGATCTTGATGTTCAGCAGGGCCTCATACTCCTGGGCCTGATGCTGTCCCTCTGCCTGGGATGCAGCAGGACCACCTCCAGGTGCATCAGGACCTTATCAAGCTGCATGGTGTAGCGGGCCTCTACCTCCCTCAGGCTGTTCTTCAAGCTAGCCTTCAGATTTCTCATCTAGTCCAGGTCGATCTCCAAGGACTGGACTGTACATCTCAGCCCTGTGAACGTCATCTCAGCAGCTCTGATCTTGGAGGACTGCACAGTAACCACTGTGGTGCTCTCCTCAATCTGCTGGGACCAGTACTTGTCTAGTTCCTCTCAGTTCTTTCGAGACAGCTCATTGTATTGGGCCTGGTTGTCTGCCATGATCTTGCTGAGGTCCTGAGATTTGGGGGCATCTACCTCCACAGTCAACCCAGAGCTGGCAATCTGGGCTTGTAGGCTTTTTACTTCCTCTTCATGGTTCTTCTTCCCGAAGAGCAACTCCTCCTTGAAAGCCTCAATCTCTGTCTCCAGCTGCAGCTGAGTGACATTGGTGTCATCAATGACCTTGCAGAGCCCACGGATGTTGCTTTCCACAGACTGGCACATGGCCAGCTCTGTCTCATACCTGACTCTAAGGTCATCAGCAGCAAGATGAGTGTTGTCAGTCTGCAGAGCGATGCTAGAATTGTCCACAGTATTTGCAAAGATCTGAGCCCTCAGGTCCTCAATGGTCTTGAAGTAATGTCCCAGACTCTGACCTGGGGCCCGTTGTTCTCCAGGTGCTCCCAGATTTTGTTCTCCAGCCTCCAATTCTTAGTCTCCATGCTCCTCACCCTGTCCACGTAGGAGGCCAGGCAGTCATTCAGGCTTTGCATGGTCTTCTTCTCATTCTGGATGCCCCCCATTCCTGCCAGACCCCCGCCCATCCCCATGGCCAGGCCACTGAACCCCAAGCCGTCCCGGAAGCTGGTGGAGCAAGACACGGAGATCCGGGAACCAGAAGCCTCGGCCCCTGCATAGACACTGGACACGGTTCTGATCGGCTGGGCACCGTAGCTGAGCAGCTGGGTGGAGCCCAGGGACCGGTAGTTGGTGGAGAAGGTGGAACGAGTGGTGAAGCTCATGCTGTCCGGGAGGAGAGCGAGAGGACAGGACTCAGGTTTTGCCTACAATGCAACCTGATCTTAAAATGGGCAAAGGACTTGAAAGCTATTTCTCCAAAGAAGATATACAAATGGCCAATGAGCAGGTGAAAAGATGCCCCACATCCCTAATCATGAGGGAAGTGTAAATCAAAACCACAACAAGATACCCCCTTATGCACAATGTGATAGCTATAATTAAAAACAACTACAACAGAAAATAACAAGTGTTGGTGAGAATGTGGAGAAATTGGAACACTTGTGCATTGCTGGTGGGAATATAAAATGATGCCGCTCCTGTGGAAAACAGCATGGCAGTTCCTCAAAAATGAAAAAATAGAATTTTTAAAAATTAAAACTTTAAAAAATGATCCAGAAATTCTGCTCCTGGTATATACCCAAAAGAATTAAAAGCAGAATCTCAAAGAGATATCTATGCACTCATGTCTCATGTTCACAGCAGCATTAGTCACAGTAGTCAAGAGGTAGAAGCAACACAAATGTCCACCTGTGGATGAATGAATGGATAAAATGTGGTATATACACACAATAGAATTTTATTTGGCCTTAAAAAGGAAAGGAATTCTAACACATGGTACTGCATGGATGAACCTTGATGACATTATGCTAATTGAAACAAGCCAGTCACAAAAGGACAGATATTGTATGATTCACTTACATGAGGTACCTACGGTGGTCAAATTTGTAGAGCTTATAGAAAGTAAAATGGCGGGTACCAGGGCCTGGTGGGGAGAGGGAAAGGGAGTTGTTGTTCAATGAGCATAGAGTTTCAGTTTTGCAAGATAAAAAGAGTTCTGGGTATCTGCTGTGTAACAATGTGAATGTGTTTACTACTGAACTGCACACTTAAAAATGATTAAGATGGTAAATTTTATGTTATATATACTTATCACAACTTTAAAAAAGATGGCCGGGCACGGTGGCTCACGCCTGTAATCCCAGTACTTTGGGAGGCCAAGGTGTGCGGATCACCCGAGGTCAGGAGTTGGAGACCAGCTTGGCCAACACGCAGAAACCCCGCCTCTACTAAAAATACAAAAATTAGCTGGATGTGGTGGCGCATGCCTGTAATCCCAGCTACTTGGGAGGCTGAAGCAGGAGAATCACTTGAATCTGGGAGGCGGAGGTTGCAGTGAGCCAAGATCACGCCACTGCACGCCAGCCTGGGAAACAGAGCGAGACATCATCTCAAAAAAAAAAAAAAAAAGGAAAGAAAAGAAAAGATATTTCATGCCATGCGACACTCATAAAAGTGATTCATTATTTAGTTATAAAACAATGACATCTGAGATTGCTTTGAAAAAGAGAACTGCTCACGTCAAGAGTCAGAGAGATCCCAGGGTTCACTTCTGATTTTGTCAATGATCCAGAGTGTATGAAATGCAATTATTGTATCTTTTCAGGATTTGTTCAAATGCTATTACTGCTTTGTAAAATATCTGGGTATTTGGGGTGTGAATAGGATAATATTTATAAAACTAGAGTCTCTTTACCAAAAAAAGAGTTTAAACAGAGAAAAAAATGTTATCAGTAGTGTCATTATGCTACTTCTGTAAACATTATCATATTATTAAAAGGAAATCTGTCTATATAACTAGGCTGGGCTAGATATCTAAGCGTGATAGGCCCTTTGTTACAGCAAGTAATATTTAGTTTCCAGAAACCAGTATTTAAAAGCCTGCTTTGTACAACTGTTAAAGTCTATTATTAGAAGGATTTATTTTTGGCACTGGATCCTGGAGCTTTGGCTAATAGCAGTCAATGGAGTAATTCTAGCCTAATTTTGCAAGTGTTCTAATGACAGTGAAAATATGTTACCCATGAACATAATGACGCTCAGCAAAAGAGCTCAACATTTTATTGAGCCATAAGAGCATAATAATTGCAGTTCCCATTTTCCATAATCATGCTTTGTGGGGAATGTTTTTATTTGGAGAAATGCAATCATTTTTGGAAACAAATTCCATAACAATTAATATCCACATAATAAAAATGCATTCAATTCCAGAAGTTTAATTCCAGAAGCCTAGATTCAAATTCCCCAGAGAAGTTTTTATCTTGCGATCTTGATACTAAAGGAAATAATCCCAACAACAGCCAGTTTACAAGTGGAATTGTTTAGATGATCCTTTTAAATTAAAATTTGCCCATTTGAGAATGAAATGTCATTTATTCCTGTTTCCCAGTCAACTTTCTTTTTACATACCTTATCAGTTATTTTGCATGCTTAGTTTTTATGCTATCTCAGTAGTGAAGAAGGAAGAACAAGGGAATCACATAGCAGAAACAAGGGTCCTTTGCCAAAACAAAAAAAAAAGAAGGCATAGATTATAAACTAGAAGCAAGAACTATGTCTTCAGCATACAGAGCTCATGGTGCTCAGCATTTTATGGTCATTAGAAAGCATTATTTAAAATTAAATGATTTTTAAAAGCACTTTACCACGTGGAAAATTTTTTAAGTATTATTTTTGTTACTCAGAGCCTGTGGCTTTCTAAATTTTAGCAATTTTTTTAAAGGGAATATTAATGAAAGTGAGACCATTTTAAATTAAGGCAGTTAAGGAAAATGACAATGAAAACCTCTCTGTTGACTGTCTTTCTTACCTTACCATTTCCAAATTGTTGTTCATTTGTATAATCTATATGAGAAAGAGCTGATTCAATGGAATTGCTTTTATAACAACAGTATACTTCATTGAAATGATTATATGCAATTGATTATAAACTGTTTGTTATTTCTATGTCAATTATTTCCCTAAGCAAACACTTTCATTCACGTAAGGCTTATGTAAAATACAGCCTTCTGTTAATTGTTAGAAGCATTACAAAACACATATAACAATATCAGAATAATTTATTTAATGCTACTATATTTTTAAAAAGTGAACCACAATCTCATGAGATAGAGATTTCAATTTTTCACAGTTTCCTTAGATTGTGAAATAAGCACCATCTACATCTGGGCAAAGAAAGAGAAGTACAGATGAAGAGGAAATGTTTCCTATTCTTTCTTCGGAAGTCGTTTGTTTACATGAAAAAAGTTTCTTTGCAATGAATCCGATTACATTCCATTTGTATATTTACATGTTTATCTCCTAGAAAACAAGAACTACACAGTGTAGGAGAAAATCATTTCAAGTACATTGTGGGTCAGAACTGTGCGCTTATCAAAACAAATGATCATATAAAATAGTTCTAAATCAATCTTTATTTTTCAATATATCCTTACTATATTTACAGAAGTTACTGATGTAAGTCATAACAAAATTTGCAAGCTAACTTTACATTTTTCCAATAGATGAGATAATTTAAAGATGTGAAGATACAAAGGCAGCTGCTGCTTCAGATGACTCAGAGATGGAGCCCTGAGGTCATTCCCCAAGGAGGGAGAAGGTGAGAATTCCTGTCATCAAGGAGACTGAGGTGGCCTGGCTTTGAGTCTCACATTGTTTTTTTTCACCTACTTAGTTGAGACATTTGTCTTCAAAACTAAACCTTGTTGAGAGAGAATGGGTAAAGATTTCAGATCATCTCCACTGGTTAACATACTAAGAGCCAGGACTAGAAGACAGGACCACAGCTGTATATAAGGCAGTCTCATCAAGTCAGGAGAAAGTTGGGCTATTCTTTGAATCCAGGGACATTCAAGGGTACTCTGGAGTCCAGAAGAGGGGAGCTGTGTTAGATGAGTAGAGGGAAAAGCTAAGTGCAGAAGGGTTCTTGCCCCCACGTTTTGCATGGTTTCCTAGAAGAAAACCTCTCAGCAGTGTGCCCTGGCACAACCTAGGGTTGCCAAGGCCAGGCAGAGACAGGCTGAGTTACCTTTCTTGAGTGACTCTGTGTGGTGTGGAAGGGACCTAGAAGTGCCTGCATGCCCTTGGGCAATATAAGAGAAGCTGTTTCTGGGAAGCTTGCTAGGGTGGGTCACCAAGGCTAGGGCAAAAATAACATGTGCCCAAGGCTACAGCGAGGACCGCGCAAGCCAAGGGATGAACAGGCATCAGGACCAGACCCTAGAGCTCTACTGTGTCCCTGTCACAGCAAGGGACAACATGATGCTGAGTCAGCCAGGATGACCTCCTGGCAAACAGACCACGATGATGTCTGTGTCTAAAGCCAGAGCCTCCAGCCTGAGGCAGCATCAGGAGACTCAAAGGGCAGTACATGGGCCCTCAACACTCTCTGATACCCCATCCTCCACTTTCCCATCGCCAGGACACGTGTCATCTCACGTGTCATCTTGGGGAAGAAAGGGAGATGAATTAAAAATCCAAAAGAGACAATTTCATCTTGGAAGAGACTATGTTACATGTGAAACATTGTCTCCTTATATTGTTGAATAAGTTGGAATTGACCAGATTTGACTAAATGTAGTCTTCACCTCTTACCCAGAGAGTAGGATTTTGGAGGGATACTAGATCAATTGCAGGAAAGTAAAAAGGCTTTTCTTTGTACAGAGTGTAGGGCGCAAATTTACAACACTCCTGAATGACTAACAAATAATCCCCAAGGCCATTGCTGGTGGCTTATTGTCACCTGTTCCTCTCTTCCGGTGGAGCTTCTTCCAATTAGTCCCAAAATAGCCAGAGACCTGTGGGCCCTCCCACTCCTCCGCACTGTGATCCCTCTCATTTAGTGGGTAATCACCTCCAGAACTGACTGGTTTGTTTGCAACCGGAGGCTGGCTGAGGTGCCCAAGCAGGAGCTGCCTGCCCCCGGCTGCGTTAGGAACTACCCCTTTAGATGTTGCACTGCGGGGAGAGGTTGTCCAGGAGCAACTGGGGTGGGTGAGCAGTTAGGGGCTCAGGGCAGTGGCTATTTTCCAACCGGTGTGGGAAAATGTCAGTATTTTAACAATCGGCATAGCCAGACTGGTATGCACTAACTGAATACAAGGAAGTTCCTACCTTTTCTCTCCCACTTCCAATCAGCCTCAGACTCTAGAAGCCTCTAACTCACCTCATTCCACCTGCCAGAGTTCCTTCTTTAACACAGTCTCAGCCCCACCATCATAGCAGGAGCTTGTGTGGGGAGTAAGAGGAGTAACAACCGCAAGTGAGGGTCTTGGGAACTCACCGGAGCTGAGTCAGGAGTAAATGTCGTTAATGAACCCCACTGATAACACTGATCACATTTTCCAGAGAAACAGAAATATAAATGGTGGCTCTATGTTGGAATGAGTACCGCTGTTACACTGTTAGATTGATGTTTATGGGCTGGTGCAAACCTAATTACTCCTTATGATGTTGCTTCTATGAAAACAATACATTTATAAGTTTCTGTTGAACAATGTATAAGCAAGTCTTTCAGATACAAGCTCTTCTAATATGAGACTACCAGAGTGATTACAAACAAAGTATATGCATTAGGGCGGGGCGCAGTGGCTCACACCTGTAATCCCAGCACTTTGGGAGGCTGAGGTGGGCAGATCACAAGGTTAGGAGATCGAGACCATTCTGGCTAACACGGTGAAACCCCGTCTCTACTAAAAATACAAAAAAAAAAAAATTAGCTGGGCATGGTGGCGGGCGCCTGTAGTCCCAGCTACTCAGGAGGCTGAGGCAGGAGAATGGCGTGAACCCGGGAGGTGGAGCTTGCAGTGAGCTGAGATCACGCCACAGCACTCCAGCCTGGGTGACAGAGTGAGACTCTGTCTCAAAAAAACAAACAAACAACAACAACAAAAAAAAACAAAAACTGTATGCATAAATATTATAAATGCTAATAATTTATGAGACACTTCAAAATGCATATACAACACAAGAAAGACAGTTTAGTAAAAATTAGGGCAAAGGGAAAATAATGTTAGGAAAAATAAGATGAAGCCATAGATCATTTCTGGTTTTAAAATGCATGTCTAGGCTGGGCATGGTGGCTCACGCCTATAATCCCAGTACATTGGGAGGCCGAGGTGGGTGGATTGCTAGAGTCCAGGAGTTCAAGACCAGCCTAGGCAACATGGCGAAAGCCTGTCTCTACAAAAAAATACAGAAAAAAAATTAGCCAGGCATGCGGTCGTGCACCAGTGGTCCCAGCTACTTGGAGGCTACGGTGGGAGGATTGCTTGAGTCTGGGGACATAGAGGCTACAGTGAGCCATGATTGTGCCACTGCACTCTAGCCTGGGTGGCAGAGCAAGAACTTGTCTCAAAAATAAATAAATAAAAATATAATAAAATGCATGCCTAAAGGCAGGTCCTGAACTTCCTACTAACCAACACAAAGAATGCAACACACTAGTTACGTGATTCCTGAGGTTTTATTTTGGCCTTATTTTTCAGAACAACAACAACAACAATAACAACAACAAAACAATTGTCCCTAGTACTACAAGCTGAGAAAAATTCCTCCCATGGATCCTCAACAGAGGACTCTGTGCAATATAGTTACCTAACATAATGGCTAATGTTTAGTGAGAACTATTCAAGCATTTTGTCTACCTTGTTGCCTTCCCTTTCCCAAGAAGGGCTCTTCTGAGATGAGGAAACTAAGGCTCAGAGAAGTTCAGTAACTTGGCCAGGCCATACAGCTAATGAGTGGTGGTGCTGAGGCTTATTGAGTCTGTTGGTCATCTAAGTCCCTGCTGTTGACCACTGCTTTATGAACAATAACCCTGGAATAAATACAGTCAGTTCCACATGCTATTTCTTATAATGAGTTCAACAGCCAATGATAAAAATGTGTGTCAACAAAGGAGCAGGTTACCTTCAAACTGGAAGCCTAAAGCATTACTTGAAACACAACTTAAATTTCTTATATTCAATTCTTATTTTGTACTTCCTACTAGTAAATTACTAGGAATCAAAAAATATGGATGTTCTTTTTCAAGCTATAAATGTTTCTCTAGCAAATATAACAGGTCACATTTTCAAAATTCCGTGTTTTCCCTCTTATATAGATCACAGCTCTCACACAGATGATAAAGGGTTTTCTCACTGCCTGTGAGAATTAAAGTACAGTTGTCCATTATAGAAGCTTCTTTTTAAAATAGACTGCCATCTTTCATCAAATGTTTCAGCTCTGTGGAAAATAACTTAGGTTTTTTCCTACTCGCAAAAGAAATGTTTCCACTTGAAACCTGTTGGAAATATGGAATAGGCTATATAGTTCCATCAAAGAAAAGCTTATTACTTATTTGCATAGTATATTTCTTTTGTGTCAAGTTGAACAGTGGTATTAAGTGAATGCCCACAAAGCATCTTAAAGGCTAAGGAAGGATTACACTAAAGGCTAAGCTCTGAGACAGGTTTATGCACCTTGCAGGGCACTTTCCTTGGGCTTAACATCTTTTAGCCTATCTGTAGAGGATATCAGAGGGCAAAGTTTCTGTCATGAAATAGGACTAATCAACTTAGTTGAATTTGTATTTAAAGCAAGGTTAAACTGAATTAAGACCATTTTTGAAAGAATTGTCAGATGTACCTTTCAACCCGCAGCCAGAGAAGCTTCTGCAGTTGAAGGCCAGAAAGTCTTTGTATGGTTCTTCCATCTGCAATATCAAAGACAAGAAGTCTTCATAGAGGATGTAAGTATGTAACTCTACACATTGATTAGCCCAAAATTGAGGCCAGTTACTCTGAGTAAAATGTTTCACATATAAAATAAAAGGACATCTTTATCTTAAAGGAAATGCTTAGGTTTATGTGTAGACTTTACTGGCTATTACTAACAGTATGTGAGCTAATAAATTCCTACTTGACTGAAGTTACTAACGAGTAAAGATGATATACCACTCCTACCAAATAAACACTGCCTGGTCTTAGTTTTTGGAGTTTTTTAAGTGAAAGTAAAATGAAGTTTATTTAAGATAAAGTCAGTTCAAAGTTGTATGTAAATTTACTGTAGTTTTATTATCTTCAAACAGATGAAGTACCTACCTCTATGTATTACTGCTGTTTATTTACTATATATTATTATTTTAATGGCCCCCCATTACTATAGATATCTATATTCCAAAAATTGTCATGATGTATGAACCATGAAATGTCAGAGTAGAAAATTTCAGAAAAACATTGAGGAACAATCAATGATAATCATGAAATAAAATCTATATTGATATTCCTTAATTCATTCTTTAAGACTATCTAACTAAAACACCTACTATTCAGTTCCATTATATGAGTACTGCTAGAATTTCACTTTAGTCTCTACAGATTTATATATAATGGACTTTGCTTCACAATCTTTTGAAGAAAGTGAACATAATTTATACAAACTGTAGTTGCACATAAATTATATTGAGTCCAGTAGAAATTACATAATTTTGACTTCTTTAATGATGTCAAAGGTTTACCTTTTTCTTTACAATACTTGTAATTGTGCCTAGAACCTGACATTTCAAGAAGACATGGATAGGTCTAATGAAAATGAGCTTCCAGAGTAAAAAGAAATAAGAAGTGACAGCAGCCAGCACGTAACCCACTGTCTTCAATGCTTTCCAGGGTATGTGCTATGGTGAAATGCAGTTAGAAAAGTCCTAAAGCTTATGCCTTTAGGAAAAGTGAAATACATTTTAGCAGCACTGCCAAGTGCTTCGGTATGAACTGTCTTTCTAAAGTTCTCCTCCGTCCTTGGCAGAGATGGGAAGGGGAGCAAGATATGGAGGGACCCAGGAGAAGGCCTATTTGGGTTGTGCTCAGAGAGAGTTGGAGGAGATGGACTACAAAGGCCTCTGCAAAACATAAGTAGGAGGAATTACTTTGGAGTTGTTGGGGTACTGCCTAAGAGAAGGCCAAGAAAACTCGCAAGAAGCCAGGCCTGAATTGTAAAAATTGCTCTCATTTTAATTTAAGAATTTACATCTATTTATCTTACATTTATTTATCTCAGAACTGTGGAAACATTTAATTCTACTGATCTACTTTTCACATACAAAAACTTACCAGATACAGCAGTTACTTAAAAATTAATTCATTTTAATGTATGTAATCAGAAAACATGCATCATACATACCATAAATATTCTACATACGATTAGTCAAATATAGGGTTTTCCAAACTCAAATTGCACTGATTTTAATGAAAGATCACAGTATAGCCAATAACAGACAAATATAATAAAATTGGCACCCGGCTCCTGGGCACTGGGAAATCATTCCGTGAATATCTGCTGATTTGGCAAGGGCTTTAGTTCATGAAGTTCATGTCTTACTACTACTGCCCTAATCAGTTGAGACAGAATTAGCACTAGGTAAATCATCTATGTGCTGCCTGGAGGGGTTTGTTGAGGGTAAGAGTCTGAAGACAGAGATTAAGGAGTCCTCATCCTCCTAATGTGCTGGGCATCCAGGATTAGAGCTCTGGGTCAGAGAAATCCAGGCTGAATGCAGACCTAAGCACCACTGCACTCCCTCACTTTGGGATTACCAGACACGCTCTGCACTGAAAATTTATATTCCAGTCTGCACTTTTACTTGAGCATTTCATCTGCTACTGCAAAGTGACCTTAGTTTACAATTTGTCTACATGTGTCTAAAATAGAAAGGGGTGCCCTGAAAATATGAAAGTTCACATTTAAAGACTCGTGCTTGATCATATGACACAGTACCCTCAAAACAATGATTTTAAGGCAACACAAATTTGGAGTTTCAAGTATCTACCTGGCTGATGAAGGGAAAGATCAGATCAACCTTAGAACGTTGCCTTAAAAGTATTCTGATTTTATTTGCTTCAAAATGTAATTTTGAAGCAAATAGGGCAGTGCAACTATTCTGTATGATACTGTAATGGTGGATAAATGCCATTCTACATTTGTCAGAATCATAGAATGTCCAACACCAAGAGTGAATCCACATGTAAACTATGAATTTTGGGTGGCAATGATGTGTCAGTGTAGCTTAACTGATTGTAGCAAATGTACACTCTGATGCAGGATGTTGATAGTGAGGAAGCTGTGCATGTGTGTGTTGGGGGAGGATATGAAAACTCTCTGTAGTGTCCACTCCATTTTTCTGTGTACTGAAAACTTCTCTGAAAAATAAAAGTTAAAACTATGTAATTTGAGGTATGTGCATGAAAACAGGCACAAAAGAAACTAGGCAATCCTTTTCTTTAAGGAAAATTTGGGCATCAGTCGATATGATAGTGATAAGTAAATAAGTACTAGTTCATAAGTGCAAGGATTAAAACAAATGAGGGAAGCCAAGTGGAGCCCAGAACTGTAACACACAGGAGCTGCAGATGCCAATGACTCATCGTCCTGCCCAGGGACTTCCATGACATGTGGACATTTCTGCAGGCACTTGGAATAGCTTGCATTTTAGATTAAAATTTGGTGGACTGATTAAAAAACAATGAACCACTCCCCTGGCATTTCAAAAAGAAAGCAAGCCAGACCCAAGAACCATGGAATCAAGAACAGATGTGGTACCAAGGATAGCTTTAATTGTACATTAGATAAGACTTATCCTTTCCCATTGGCCAAATAGCACTGAGTTCTCCCACTTATTTCACATAACTTGTGACTAATGGCAAAAAAAAAAATCCTGCTGTTTTGTTGCAGACAATGGAACCTACAGAGCCTCATATAGATATGCCTAAGCCTGGCAAACCTGGTATTTCAGAAGAAAGGCATTTGTGCCAATTATCTACTGGAATGACATTAGAAGTCTGCCACATTGCCTCAATAGCACTAGTCACCATTGCTGCCCTACCTTACATCTTCTTGGCCTCCTTCTGAATTCACCTGCAACCATGGAAGTCATTTCCCATCTGAAGCACCTGCATCTCCCTTTCTCAGTCTGAAGGTTTTCTCCTGCACCACAGGAGCTTGTTGTGTCTAGCTCAAGCATAATCCATATGCAAAGGAGAACTGTGCCCTCAACCAATGGCCAACAGAAGTTGATGGGCCAACTCTTTGCCCTTCATGAGGACAATTCTGAGATGTGTACCATAGGTTTCTTAGAGGGCTCCCAGCAGGGTTGAGCACCAGTTGCCCACAGTGAAAACCCACACATTAATTCACTCAGCCTTTCTTGACTTTTCCCTTCCTGGTCTTGCTTTTCTACTCCTTCACACGGGCTTCCTGGGATTACCTCCCAAATAAACTACTGTACTTAATTTCTTGTCTTAGGGCCTCCTTTGGGGATTCCAAAGTAAGACAATCTCATCTCCTTTTGGTGATTCATCTCCACGGCTTTTCCTAAAGGTAACATGTAAGAGGAAGAGGTGGTGAGTCTCTAAGCAATTCTTGCTCCTCTCTTTCTTCCTTTTTCCTTCTCCTTTTTCCTGACTTGTCTCAGACATCACATAGGATACAAGCTGAGCCATATATATATAATTTTTTTTTTTTTTTTTTTTTTTTTTTTGGAGACAGAATCTCCCTCTGTTGCCCAGGCTGGAGTGCAGCGGTGCGATCTTGGCTCACTGCAACCTCTGCCTCCTGAGTTCAAGCAATTCTCCTGCCCCAGCCTCCTGAGTAGCTGGGACTACAGGCGCCACACCCGGCTAATTTTTGTATTTTTAGTAGAGACGGGGTTTCACCATGTTGGCCAGGCTGGTCTCGAACTCCTGACCTCAGATGATCCACCCACCTCGGCCTCCCAAAATGCTGGGATTACAGGCGTGAGCCACCACACCCAGCCTGAGCCCTATATTTTTAAAAATACCCTTATTGAGGAAAATTTGATATAAAAGAACTGCACCTATTTAATGTGTACAATTTGATGAGTTTTGGCATACGCATAATCCATGAAGCCACCACTTAATCAAGGTAACAGACATAGCCAACACTTCCTAAAGTTTTCTTGTGTCCCTTTGTTTTTGTTTGATTTTTGTGGCAAGAACACTCAACATGAAATTTACCTTCTTAACACATTTTGACATGCACAATGGACGAACCTGAAGGACATTATGCTAAGTGAAAAAACCAGTCACAGCAGGACAAATACTGCATGATTCTTCTTCTCTGAGGTGTCTAAAATAGTACAACTCATAGAAGCAGAAAATATTATAGTGGTTGCCAGAGGCTAGGGGGTGATGGAAGTGGAGAACTGTTGTCCAATGGATAAAGTTTCTTTTATGCTAGACGAGTAAGTTCTAGATAACTGCTGTACAAAATAGAGCCTATAGGCCAGGCGTGGTGGCTCACACGTCTAATCCCAGTGCTATGGGAGGCTGAGGTGGGTGGATCACTTGAGGTCAGGAGTTTGAGACCAGCCTGGCCAACATGGCGAAACCCTGTTTCTACTAAAAATACAAAAAAATTAGCCGAGCGTGGTGGTGAGTGCCTGTAATGCCAGCTACCGAGGAGGCTGAGGCAGAAGAATTGCTTGAACCCGGGCGACAGAGGTTGCAGTGAGACAGGATCACGCCATTGCACTCCAGCCTGGGCAAGAGAGTGAGACTCTGTCTCAAAACAAAACAAAAAACAAAATAGAGCCTGTAACATCAAAAATTCTATCTCACTCCTCACTTATGAGTAAGTTCAATCTTCTGCTAGAGACCATCGATTCATGACACAAATCAAAGTTCAACAATTTTTCAAAATGAAACACCTAGTGGTGTCCCCCATTGTTCTGTTGTAAATGGTCTAGAGGGAAGAAGGCAGCTGTGCACCGAATCCCATGAGGAGCACCTGAGATTTCAAGTTGCGGGGCAGGGTCCTCGCTAGAGTTATGAGCCCAGCCCATCTCCGACCCAGCCTGTGTTCTCTGCTGGCATCCTCCATGGCTTACAGGCACCTAGCACAGATTTTTATTCTAATCCTGACTGTGTGGTGGTAACTAAACTCTCTGAGGCCACTATCAGAAAGGAAAGTATACTGACCTCACAGAAATACAGTGAAAGTAAATGGAGATAAAGAACTTTAATATGTATGTATGAATGGCAAAAGGTGATGTTAGGTGATCCATGGACTTGGATTTCCAATTTGATTAGTGGGGTTAGTTCTGAAAAAGAAGCTAACAAAGTGATTGTATATTTAAATACCATTATATTTTTAGTATTTGAACCATGTGAATGAATTAACCTCTATTTTAAAAATTAAATCAAACACACAATTTAATCAAATACACACAAGGAAATAAAGGTCACTACTTTGAAAAGCAGAACATTTTCTTCCTAGTATCTTTTTCTTTAAATATAGTTGCAGGTATCTCAGATTTTTAAAAACAATAAGAAAACCCAATTATTTATTTATTTTTAATTTTTAATTTTCATGGGTACATAGGTGTATATACTTACGGGGGCACATGAGATATTTTGATATGGGAATACAGTGCATAATAATCACATCAGGGTAAACGGCCTATCCATCACCTCAAGTATTTATCATTTCTTTGTATTACAAACAATCCAATTATACTTAGTTATTTTTATTTTTATTTGTTTGTTTATTTATTTATTTATTTATTTATTTATTTTTTGAGACGGAGTCTCGCTCTGTCACCCAGGCTGGAGTG